>NC_000022.11:31133806-31285321 GCF_000001405.40 Homo sapiens
ACCTGACCTCCCAAGATCTGCCAACGAGAGAGGCAGACCTCGGGAGGTCAGGCCTCAGTGGCTGGGTTGGGGAGCAGGGCGCCCCAGTGACCAGCATTTCCCCCAGATCTCGCTGCCTTCCTCGGAGTTGGCCAGCAGCAGCACAGACAGCTCAGGCACCAGCTCAGAGGGAGAGGATGACAGCACACTGGAGCTCCTTGCACCCAAGTCCCGCAGCCCCAGTCCTGGCAAGTCCAAGCGACACCGCAGCCGCAGCCCGGGACTGGCCAGGTTCCCTGGGCTTGCCCTACGGCCCTCATCCCGTGAACGCCGTGGTGCCAGCCGTAGCCCCTCACCCCAGAGCCGCCGCCTGTCCCGAGTGGCTCCTGACAGGAGCAGTAATGGCAGCAGCCGGGGCAGTAGTGAAGAGGGGCCCTCTGGGTTGCCTGGCCCCTGGGCCTTCCCACCAGCTGTGCCTCGAAGCCTGGGCCTGTTGCCCGCCTTGCGCCTAGAGACTGTAGACCCTGGTGGTGGTGGCTCCTGGGGACCTGATCGGGAGGCCCTGGCGCCCAACAGCCTGTCTCCTAGTCCCCAGGGCCATCGGGGGCTGGAGGAAGGGGGCCTGGGGCCCTGAGGGTGGGGTAGGCAGATGGGCCAAGGTGACCACCATTCTGCCTCAATCTTTTGCAAGCCCACCTGCCTCTCTCCTGCTGCTCCTCCAGCTGTATCTGCACCTGCCTCTCTGTCCTGGCCAGGGGTGGACAACTGGGGTCCCCCAAAACTCAGTCCTGGCACCTCAACTGTGACAATCAGCAAAGCCCCACCCAGGCCCCCATCTGGGATGATGGGAGAGCTCTGGCAGATGTCCCAATCCTGGAGGTCATCCATTAGGAATTAAATTCTCCAGCCTCACTCTCGGCTCTTTCCTACTTGTTAGTAGTCTTGGGATGGTGGTAGTCAGAGGCAGGGACTGAAGAGGTGAGGGAATGACAGAACCGACATTTACCAGGCACCAGCTGTATACATTACACATGCCATCTCCTTTAATCTGCATCACAACCCTGTGAGATCAGTGCTATTCTTAGACCCATTTCACAGGTGAGCGAACTGAGGCCTTTAAAAGGTTACATCAACCTCTCAAGATCAGACACCAAACCATAGTTCAGCTAGGTGTCGCAGGGGGGAATACTTATTAAGTGCTAAGCACTGTATATGTATTGGTTCACTTAATCCTCAACAACCCTATGAGGTAGCTCCTGTTTAGAGACCCCCTTTTTTTAGAGGAGGAAACTAAGGCTTAGAGTGCAAGAGGGAGGTCCTTTGCGCAAAGGCATGGAGGAGATTTGAATTTAGGTTTAGGGCTGGGCCAGGAAGGGCACGGCAGCCGTTAAAAAAAGAGGCCCCCCTGGGAGGAGGGGAGCTGAAAGCCCTCTCCAACACCCACCCCAATCCTGGATTCAGACACAGACATTTCTGTGACATCCCTAACTTCCCACCTGCTACCTCAGGCCACAGCACCCAGGCACTAGGGCTCCCCTAGGCAGGTTTTTGAGGCATGTATTATTTTTGCAACACGGACATACATGTACCTCCTCCTGGTACTGCCTGGGGCTGCTGCAATAAGTTACCCTTTCCCCATTCTCATCTGTATGTGAAGTTCCCTGGCAAGGCCAAAGCCCAGGGCATCAGAATGAGCTTCCTGAACACCACATCCAGGCATAGAAGAGTTGTGTCATACATAGCTCAAGGTTACCCAGAACAGCAGGAGATGTGGTCCAGCATTTGGGCCTTGAGATCCCCCCATTCATCCTCTTGATTGTCCACAACAGCCTCTGCCATGCTTCAGTCTAACCTACGGAGGGGAGGCTGAGATTCCCAAGGCTTGGCATAGCCATGGGCAAGGTCCAGGCTGGTGCCCAGGAAAGCTGAAACTGAGGTCACTGGCTCCAGGACTTCTGCTGCCTGTCGGGTCTCCTGGCTGCCTGGGTTAGCTGCAGGCACTGGTTGTAGAATGACATGGGGCCTCTCAGGGGCTCTGAAGGCCATGGCTGCCTCTCATCTGTGCCTTTATCCTGGAGCTGGTGTCGCCTCTGCTGAAGCCTCCGCAAGTGCCGGGCTGACACCCTGATGGCCCTAGGGTCTCTGGAACAGCTGTAAGGAGAGAAGAGTGGGGCAGATGATCAGGGCTGACAAGGATCCCACCTTACTCTGCAGACAGTGGGCTGAGGCCCAGAGAGAGAGGGGGCTGGGGCCACAGTCACCAGCAAGGCAGAGAGGGGTGGGTTTCACGGAGAAAGGGTATAATAAACCGGGCTGGTACCTGGAGGCCTGGGTTCTGCCACTAGCTGGCTGTGGAAACCTGAGCCAGAAGCCTCAGCCTCATCTATGAAATGGGAAAGTTAAGAAGGAGCTGGCTTTGAGAATCGGAATCCAGATGAAAGCAGAGCACAGTGGCTCACGCCTGTAATCCCAGCACTTTAGGAGGCCGAGGTGGGAGGATCGCTCGAGTCCAGAAGTTCAAGACCAAATGAGATTGTGGATTAGGAGTGAGTTAAGTACACATTTTGCTGTGTGCCAGGCGGGGCATGACCTATGTGCATCCTGCCGTTTCCTTGGTTCCTACGACCATTTTACAGACAAAGACATGGAAACTTGGAAAGGTGAACCAGTTGCCAAGGTCATGTGGGAATCAAATGACAAAGCCAAGATGCGACCCATAGAGGCCAACTGCAGAGCTGGACCTGGGGCAGCAGGGGGTAGAGGGATGAGGCTATGGATAGGAGCTCAGAGGTCTCCGGATCCCTTCCCCTACCCCTTGGCCCAAGCATTCAAAGTGGGTATAGGCAACCCACCCTTTGAGAAAACCCCCCATCCCTCCTGGCTCTGACATCACTTACTTTTTGCCTTCCACACAGTCCAGTGGAGGGGCCAGCTTGAAGCAGGTTGTGCCCAGCAGCTCCCAAAGCATGTTGGTAACCTCGGGTGGGCTGTGGAGCCTCAGGAAGCGTGCCAGACTGAGAACAGAGGCAGGCTCAGGCCGGGGCAGGGCCTTGCCAGCCAGGGGCCCCTTCCCATGCCTGGCAGCAGGCAGCCCACCCCGCGAGGGTTCAAAGGGGCCTCACCGGCGCGTGCAGTTGCAGTGGAAGAGGGGCTCTTGGGCGCTGTTGAGCAGCTGGAACTCGATTTCCCGGGGCCCAATCTGGTGCTCACACTGGTCCAGGTGGCGGCGGAAGCTGCGGCAGACCCAGCGGGCACCTGAGGGGTGGATGTGGTGTTGATGGGAGCCCAATCCACCAGGGAGGCCCCACCAATGCCTGCGCCATCCGGGAGAAACACCAGCACGTGTGCTCAGTCACACACACAGATTCCCTCCATTTCATGCCTTCTGAGTCTTTGTGCCCTCAGTGTGCCGCCCTTGTGGCAGTGCCTCCCTACCCCCAAGCCGCCAAACACGGTAGTACTGCTATGGGGGACACCCAGAGTACTGACGGTAGTCAAGAAAGGCTTCCAGGAGGCATAGGCTGCTAAACTGAGGGTGGGAGAGAAGACAAGGAGAGGAGGAACAGCATGTGCAAAGGCCTCACGGTAGGAGAGAGCCTGGCGCTTTTGAGGAACCAAGTGAAGTTTGTGAAACTAGAGTTTTGACTGGGGGTAGGGTCTGCAGGGCCAAGGCTTGAGGGCCTCTGGGTGTTGGGACATCATTGGCTGAGATAAAGAGGAGTGGTGGTGGGTGCACAGTGGGGCCTGATGTGGTCAAATTCGTGGATTATGAAAATCCTGTGCTGCAGTGTGATTTCATGGGAGAGGTTGGGAAATCCCAGGAGGAAACTGGTGCAGGAAAAGAGGCAACACATGGCCACCCCTAAACAGAAGCAGGGACACCCCCTCATGTCAGGAACCCCCAAGGTTAGGTTCTGAGCTCACCCTGAGGTTTTAGGCCACCCTGTGGGCCCTGGAGGCCTGTGGGGGCCACATCAAGCCTGGGAGAGACCATAGGGTCCTGGAGGGCTGTGGTGTTGGCTTTGCTGGGGCGCTTGGACCCTTTCTGATGTGGTGGCCCCTTCCGAAGGTGCTGCTTCTGTCGAGGCTTGGGAGGGGCTGGGCTCCGGGAGCTGGGAGTTGGGGAGGTGGCCCGGGAGCTCCAGGAGGCATTGTAGAAGGTCCTGGGCTGCAGGCGAGCGAGGGGCACTGTGCCGTACATCCTACACCTGGGTGGTGGCAGTTGGTGGAAATTGGTGACTGGGAATCCCCCTTCCAGAAGCCCCCAGGGTCGTCTCCATGGAGATCAATGCTCTGCCAGTCCCATCCCCCATCCCGCTGGGTTGTGGGGGACACCCAAGGAGGGTCTGCATCCCGGGCCCTCAGGAGAGGACATGCAGGATGGGACATCATTCCCTGGAAGACAGACAGACAGATAGCTCTCCCTCACCAGGCTTGGAGCCTGGGCTCCCTCTCTGTCTGGAAAGGGACATGAGGGGGTGGCCACGTACCCGCCCCACCAGTACCACGCCACACACGCCTCCTGCTCCTCCAGCACAAAGCAGGGGATCTCCAGCACGTTGAAGAAGGCCACGCCCACGATGTCCGAGATGGAGTCGTGCTGATTCTGTAGGCATTGCTGAAACCTGCCCCAGAACAGATACCCAGGACCCTGGGGCATGGAGGGCTGTCTGGCTCCTCCCACAGCCCACTGTGCCACTACCAGCTGGGTGGTTTGGGGTCCAAGCATCCCTTCTTTCTGGCCTCAGCTTTCCTACCTGCACTGTGGGGTCCAAGCTGGCTGAGCTTTAAGATCCTCTGCAATCCCAATGTCTAGTTACCCAGGAACTGGGTAACTCTGCCCTGTCCCTGAGCTCTGGGCCCTCGCTGCCTGCCACCAACCTGGTGTCACAGTCACAGTGGGAGATGGTGTGGAATCGGTAGTTTCGGATGCCATAGTTGTACTGCAAGGGTGAGATGTTCTGTGGGCAGCGGTCATGTTCCCGGCAACAGAGATCAGGTCCCTGGAAGACCCCTGCAGGGAGGGGAGGGGAGAGGGCACCAACTCAGCAGGGTCCTAGGCATCATGCACCAGCTATGCCCCCCTGGTAGGAAGAGGGCAGAGACCTGGTTCTCACCCCAGCCCTGACACAAACGCCATGAGGGTCCTCAGACCAGTCACTCTCCCTTCTGTGGGACTCTCAGAGTTTCAAAGCTGGAAAAGAGAAGCCAAGCTGCAGCCTCTGTTGGGCAACTCTAAATGCCAGGTAGCCCACCCATAAATACATGGAAAGGTCTTCCTCAGGGGAATTGGAGTCTGCCTCCAGAGTTCCCAAGCCCACGCCCCAAATAAAACTCCAAAATTATGAATGTGTGTATGATGGAATGGCAAACAGGCAGGGTGCAACCTTTCTCACTGGCACAAGGAGGTGTCGCCAGGATGCCAACCTACTCTGACTCAGGTGCCAAGCCCTCCCCCAACCCTGCACACAAACGCACAGACATCTGTACTGATAGTGCAAGAAATTCATCTATGTTTATTACCATCTAAAAAATAGCACTCTTTACTAAGCATTTCCCACATGCCTGGCACTTCCCACATCCAGGTTCACAGCCAGCCCTGAAAGGGAGGTATCACCTTCATTTTACAGGTGAGGAAATAAGTCCAGAGAGGGGAAGTGACTTGCTCAGCTTGTATGTGCTGAGTTGGGATTTGAACCCAGGCCTTTCGTCTCAGCATCCATTCCACTGGGCACCCCGTGCCCACAAAGCCTCCTCCTGGGTAATGGCTTTTTGGCTCAGTTGACCCTGGATCCTCCCCCAGCCTGCCCAGTCCCTCGGATGGCATTTAATGAGGACTCCCAGGTTTGAATAAGACTTTCCCCAACCGTGACCTCATTTAAGCACCCCATGATGAGATTCGTGATTGCCCCCACTTTACAGATAAGGAAATTGAGGTTCACCATGGTCAAGTCACTCCCCCAGGGACACACAGCCTAGGAGAGTAAGGGCTGGGGCTGAAGAAACCTTGCTTCCCCGATCGGACCCCCCAGCCCACACACCCCTCATGGCTCACCCAGCTCCGAGGAGTTCCCAGCAGAATCTCCAACTCCACACCACAGTGTGCCAGGCATGGTCCATCCTCTCTTCTCTCGCTGGTGCCCTCCACCAGGGACTCCACTCTGCCCTGCTGCTCGCTTCTTCCTGGCCCCTGCTGGACTCTCCTCAAGCGCTCGGCATGCCTCCCACTGACTCTGAAGAGTGGCCAGTGCTCTCTGCAGCTCGGGTCCGGGGGTGTGGATGAAGGAGCCCCAGGCAGTCTCATGAGCACAGAGAGCACCGTAGGCTGCGGTGAGCTCCGGCTCATCCTCCCAGCTACATGACTGCAGCCTCCTATGCGCATCCCAGCGGGCATGGATCAGGGCCAGTCCCTGAGCATCCTTGGCCAGGAAGCTCAGGTACCCCAGTGGGTTGCCAGGGACGGCCTTGGTCAAGTGGCAGGAGGTCCTGTACCAGCGGAGGGCAGGGGAGCCCCCCAGGGCCACCCCCAGGAAGCCCAGCATCCCAAACAGCCCTGCCTGAACCCCCATTCTGCACTGGCCCAGTCCAGTCAGACAAAGCCCCTGGGATGCCTGCCCTTGGTGGCCCCACCAGGCGGCAGCTGAGCAGTGGAACGGAAGCGGAGCCCAGCAGGCCCGGTGCGGCGGGACCAATGAATGGAGCTGCGGGAGGAGGAGGAAAGAGGCTGGAGTATGGGGTGATCTTGGGCTTGTAACCGAATCCACCAGCCGGGCAGGACGCTGATTGGCTGAGGAGTGCACTTGCCAGGGCCCACGCCCCCATTCTGCCTGCCTTCTCAGCACCATCCAGTCACCTGCTGCCAGCCCTGCCTAGATTGGGACTATGGGAGCCAAAGCCCTAAGCTGTGGGATGGGGACCAGGCTGGGGCTTTCACATCTCCTTGAAGGGAAGGAAAAGGGTTCAGGAGCTTGGAGGAGTCCCTTAGAACCCACCCTTCTCACCCTTACCACAGCGGTGGCTGCCACATCCACCTCCATCAGGCTGGCAGGGGGCCATGGGCCTCTGCCAGGGCTGGGTGAAGGAAGGGCTGGGGCTCTGAAGCTACCACCCTGGGAGTTCCCAAGGCTTCTGGGAAAGGGAGTGCCACCTGGGGTGCTCCCCTGCCAAGTCCTGGTTCTTAGAAAGGCTCTCGGCATACTCAGGGGACAGAGCCCCAGGGCTCCCCGCTTCCTAGGACTCCAAGCATGGGCCTGGCCTTGCAGCAACCCTCCTGGTCTGATAACTGGGGGAGACGCAGCGGGAACAGGCCTTGAGAGCCACACAGGGCAGGGCTGATGCTCTGGATTTGAAAGAACTATGGTCCCTAGAGTGGCAGAGAGTGGCCCAGGGTGTATGTCTGTGGCCACCTCCATCCCTGGCCACCTGGGGGGACACAGCAGGCATCATGTGTGCCTCATGAGACAGGAATCTCTCCATCAGGAAGGGGCTATACCCAGGTATTGTTCCTGGATCCCAAAGCCCAGCTTCCAACCATCTAGTGAGGCCAGGGTGCTTACACCCATAGTGCAGATGAAGAAACTGAGGCTCAGTGAGGGTGGGAAAACCTCAGGTGACAGGCTCCAGCTGGGGAGGGCTTAGAGGATGGGAATGCAGCGCTTGGGGATCTGGATGGGAGTCAGGGCTGGCCAGGACAGTGACTTGTCTGTCTTCCATCTGCCCATTAGCCTGCTGCTTCTCCAGCCTCCCCCTGCCCCAGGCTCCATCTGAGTCTCTTCCAGGGGATGAGCCCCAGTGAGGTAAAGCCAGGGGCAGAGCTGGGGAAGGAGAGCTCACTGTGTGGCAGAGGGGGAAGGGGGCTGCAGGGTGGGCAGGTCCATCTCTGTAGCTTCAGAACCAGCCTGGGCCTGTGGCTCAAAGCATCATAGCTGGGAACAATGAAGAGAAGGGAAAGAGGGTAGGGCTAGTCCAGGGACCAAGCGCCTTCTTGCCAGAGGTTGAGAAAGGGGGTGTGGAATACAGCGAGTGGTGGCAGAGGAGGTAGACCTGGGGTCCCCAAGGGCAAGGATGTAGCTGAACAAAGGTGAGTCCTTCTGTGAAGAGTTGTGATGTTTGAAAAATCATCATGCTGAGACTTCCTCCCATCATAGGAACTGCCACCCACCTCTGCCCCCTTTTCCACATTGCTGAGCCCTTCCCTGCCCATCACCTGGGGAGGCTGGGAGGTAGGATACGAGGAGCCAAGCTTTCGAGGTCAGACAGGTCCAGCTTAGGTTTCCACACAGACCCTAGGCTTGGAAATCTTAACTTCTCTGAGTCTTAGTTTCCTCATCTGTATCATGGGCATAATCACAGTAGTCACTCCACAGGATGTTGGGTAAGATTCCCAGCACAGTTCCTGGCACCCAAAACACCATCACTAAAGCCTCAGGATACCCCTGGCCAGGAAGCAGTTTACTCAGGAGAAAGCAAGTCCCAAGATTTTGGGGCCACAGCATCTGTGATATCTGAGAGCTCGGGCTAGATGGCAACTGTGGGAACAGTGGCCAGGACACTACCTGCCTGGGTCACTCCAGGCTTGTCCCTGTCCCTTTCTGGGACTCAGTTTCCCCCACTGTACAGTGAGAAGTACAGTGGAGTTGAACTTTGAGGTCTTTTCCAGTCTGGGTCTCAAAGAACATCAGGCTGGGGCTTGCCCAGGCCTCGAGGGAGGGTGTCACTGAGCTTTCTGTCCAGACTCCACCCAAAAACAAGTCAGTCAGCCACAAGACAGGCTCAGAGTCCTGCCTTCCACCAGGGTGTCCCTCAGAGGCCCTGGAGCAGAGGGGCCAAACCAGCGAGACAGGAAGGCCTGGGTCCTGCAGACGGAAGAGGGTCTGAGGCTTTTCTCTGGCCCTCCACCTGTCTGGGTGAGGCAGGGTGCATAGTGGGTGCCAGTGGGGAGTAGGGGTGGGGGTTCATGAGAGAAGGAGGGGCAGGGCCTCTCCTTCTTCCCTGTGTGATCGTCTATCCCTGTCTCTCACCATCCTTCCCCATACACAAACCCCCAAACCCCGTGTGCCCTGCCCTTTCCCATTCATGTTTTCCCAGACATGACTTCACCTGAAGCTCACTACCCCTGCCTCTCCCTAGGGAGACAGGCAGGGTGGGGCTTCTCATCCCATAGTCCCATAGAGGTATGGAGTAAGGCCCAAGAAAAGGAGTGACTTGCTCACCCAGCAGATCCAGAGAGAAGCCAGCTTCGACTTCCCCTGGCATGTGAGGAAGGCCTCCCTGGGATCTGGGAGTCTCTTGGCTCTCCCACAGCCTCCTAGCCTCAGGCCTTCCTTCCCCAGTCGCCTGAAGGGTGCCTTCCTTCTGGCCCATGGAGCTGGCACTCCCAGCCTTACCCAGGGGCCTCTCTGTGGCTCTCTATGCCAGGAGAATGGGGGGGGCAGTGCCTAGCTCCAGAGTATTCTGTGTCCATTCAAAAACAAGTAGTTACTGAATCTACTATGTGCCAGGCACAGGTTGAGACTGTGGACACAGCCTGCGAAAGAGAGGAAGGAAGAGGGAATAGAGCGGTCAGGAGGGGTGGAGAGGGAACTCATGCCCCAGGGAACTGGGATCTGGCAGCCACAGAAAAGGGCCAGGGCCAGGGTGTCAGCTGGGTCCTCTAGGAAACTGCTGCCAACCTAGAGTTAGAAGTCCAAGAGATTCATCAGAGGAAATGCCTATGAAAGATAAAGGGGGAAGAAGCAGGACTGGGCAGGGAAAGCCTTCCGACTGTGTTTCAGATCTGACATCTATGGGAAGAGAGGGGAAGGAGGGTTGGTTGAGAAGAGCCTCATGTTGAAGTGCCACTCTGAAAAAGTCTCAGCCAGCCAACAGGGAGCTCTGGTGCAAAGACTGCCTGTAGAAGAGTCCCAATTGGGCAGAAATGGCCAAGCCCTAGTGTCCCAGCTGTGCCCAGACATTGGCTGGCAGACTTCCCAGGAAGACAGTGGCCTCTGCTTTGCAGATCCTGATGGTGCTCTGGCTGGAGGTTGTTAGGAGACTGCTGCCACATCTGGGAACGTACGCACCCATTTGGCTGGGGCAGCCCCCACTGCAGACCAGGAGAGGAAACCCAGTGAGACAGACAGAGTCTGGCATCTGGGGAGGAAGCCCAGAAGGCAGTCTTCTTCCAGGAGATCCTAGGGTTATGGAGTACAAATCTATGGCTATAGGACCATGCCTGTAACATTTCCAGGTAGTTCAGCCCCTAGCATACCTGCCATCAATGAAACCCAGCCCTAAGTATGAGGGAATAAAGAATGAGACACAACTTGTGTCTAAAACTAAACATCTCAGTAGATGGGAAGAAACACATTATTCAATTCAATAGCTTATTAAACTAGAATAAAAGAGACAGAGAGAGATGGGGAGTCAGGGACACTACAGAAATCATTCTAGGTCACAGAACAACATTAGAAGCTGTGGTGGTTTAAGAAGATGTGCAGAAATTCTTTGATACTCCTCCTTTCAAATGGTGGAGCCTAATTCCCCTACCTTGAGTATGAGCTACACTTAGTGACTTGCTTCTAACAAATAAAATGTGATGGAAGTGAGGTAACTTCTGAGACTAAGTCATAAAAGGCATTGTGCCTGACTTCTTGCTCTTCTTCCTGGATGACTCACTCTGTGGAAGCCAGCTGACATGTCACAAAGACATTTAAGCAGGACCAGGTGTGGTAGCTCACCCCTGTAATCCCAACACTTTGGGAGGCTGAGGCAGGAGGATTGCTTGAGGCCAGGAGTTTGAAACCAGGCTGACCAACATGGCAAGACCCTGTCTCAAAAAACAAACAAACAAACAAAAACAAAAACAATTAGCTGGGTATAGTGGCACACACCTGTGGTCTAGCTATTTGGGAGGCTGAGGTGGGAGGATCGCTTGTGCTCTGGAGGTGAAAGCTGCAGTGAACCATGATTGTACCACTGCACTCCAACTGCAACAGAGTTGCAGGATCTCACTGCCTCAAAAACAAGACAAAAGAAAAACAAAACAAAACAAAAAACAAAAAGGACATTCAAGCAGCCCTATGAAGATGCCCATGTGGTGAGGGAGGAACTGAGGCTTTCTGTTAACATTCTTGTGAGTGAGCCACTTGGAAGCAGACCCTTAAGCCCCAGTCAAGCCTTCAGATAAGTACAGCCCCATCTGACTTTTTTTTTGGAAACAGAACTTTTAAGATACAATTCACATACCATACAATGCATCCATTTAAAGTATACAGTTCAATGTTTTTTAGTATATCCATAGTTGTGCAACCGTCACCACTATCTAATTCCAGAACATTTTCATCATCCCAAAAAGAAATCCTGTAAGTCATTCTGCCTTCCTCTCTCCCCCATCCCCTATAAACCACTAATCTACTTTATGTCTCCATAGAGTTGCATATTCTTTTGTTTTGTTTTGTTTTGTTTTGTTTTGAGACGAAGTCTCGCTCTGTTGCCCAGGCTGGAGTGCGGTGGCGCAATCTTGGCTCACTGCAAGCTCCGCCTCCCGGGTTCACACCATTCTCCTGCCTCAGCCTTCTGCGTAGCCGGGACTACAGATGCCTGCCACCAGGCCTGGCTATAGAGTTGCATATTCTATACATTTCATATCTAGAGAATTGTACAATGTGTGGTCTTTTGTGATTGGCACTTTTCATTTAGCATAATGTTTCCAAGGTTCATCTGTGTTGTAGCAGCATCTATTTGTACTTCATTCCTTTTTATGACTGGATAAGATTCCATTGTATGGATATACCACATTTTGCTTTTCCATTCATCAGCTGGTGGACGTTTGGGTTGCTTCCATTTTTTGGCTATTATGAATAATGCTACTATGAACATTCATGTGCAAGTTTTTGGACATACTATTTTAATTTTTTTTTTTTTTTGAGATGCAGTCTTGCTCTGTCACCCAGGCTGGAGTGCAGTGGCATGATCTCGGCTCACCGCAACCTCCACCTCCCGAGTTCAAGCAATTCTCCTGCTTCATCCTCCCAAGTAGCTGGGATTACAGGCGTGCGCCACCACGCCTGACTAATTTTTGTATTTTTAGTAGAGATGGGGTTTCATCACATTGGCCAGGCTGGTCTTGAATTCCTGACCTCATGATTCACCTGCTTCAGCCTCCCAAAGTGCTGGGATTACAGGCATGAGCTGCCACGCCTGGCCATGGACGTATGATTTTATTTCTCTTGGGTATATACCTAGGAGTGAAATTGCTGGGTCATATGCTAACTCTATATTTAACATTTTGAGGAACTGCCAGGCTGATTTTCAAAGTGACTGCACTATTTTTTTTTAATTTATTATTATTATACTTTAAGTTTTAGGGTACATGTGCACAATGTACAGGTTAGTTACATATGTATACATGTGCCATGCTGGTGCGCTGCACCCACAGTGACTGCACTATTTTACATTCTTTTTTTTTTTTTTTTTTTTTTTTTTTTGAGACGGAGTCCCGCTGTTTAGCCCAGGCCGGATTGCAGTGGCGCAATCTCGGCTCACTGCAAGCTCCGCCTCCCAGGTTCACGCCATTCTCCTGCCTCAGCCTCCCGAGTAGCTGGGACTACAGGCACCCGCCACCGCGCCCGGCTAATTTTTTGTATTTTTAGTAGAGACGGGGTTTCACCGTGTTAGCCAAGATGGCCTCGATCTCCTGACCTTGTGATCCGCCCGCCTCGGCCTCCCAAAGTGCTGGGATTACAGGCGTGAGCCACCGCGCCCAGCCACTATTTTACATTCTTAACTGCAGTGTATGAAAGTTCTGATTTCACCACATCCTTGCCAACATTAGTTATTGTCTGTCTTTATAGCTGTCCTATTGTGAAGTGGTATCTCATTGTGATTTTGATTTGCATTTCCCTGATGACTAATGATATTGAGCATCTTTTCATGTGCTTATTGGCCATTTATATACATGTTGAGTATCCCTTATCTGAAATGTTTGGGACCAGAAGTGTTCAGATTTGGGTTTTTTTCAGATTTTGGAATATTTGCATTATACTTAACCAGCTGGGCATCTCTAATCAGAAAACCCAAAATCTTAAATGCTCCAACAAGCATTTCTTTTGAGCATCATGTTAGCACTCAAAAACTTTTGGATTTTGGAGCATTTTGGATTTTGTATTTTTGGATTAGGGATGCTCGACCTGTATTTTCTTTGGAGAAATGTGGCTGATGTCATCACTGTAACCTCATGCATTCTGAGCCAGAACTATTCAACTGAGCTACTCTTGAATTCCTAACCTTCAGAAACTGTGAGTTAATAAATGTTTGTTTGAGATGCTAATTTTTTTTAACACAGCAATAGGTAACTAACATAGAAACATTCTATTAAAATCAGGAACACATCATGGGTACCTACTATTAATGCTACTAAAAGTCCCAGCCAATGCAATAAGACAAGAAAAAAATACAAATTGTCAAGTTTGGAAAGGAAGAAACAAAACTGTTATTGTTTGCAGATTAGTCTTCCACCTAAAAACTCCAGGTGTATCTAACACCATTGGTGTAGGGAAGGCAGTATGGTAGGATGGAATAAGCCCAGATCAGACCCAAATTTGAGACCTAGACTTTTTCTCACTTTCTGTGTGATCTCAGCCAAGTCTTTTTGCCTCTTTGGGCCTCATTGGTAAAGCGGAGATAATAACATTTATGCCATGAGGATTAATGTGAGTGTAACTAAAGTGCCTCAGTGACTGACACACAGTAGCCTTTGACAAATGAGATCTTCATTTAAGGAGGGCACTTGAGGGCAGAAGCCAGGCAAGATGGTGGTGTGACTGACCTGATATTCAGTTCACCAGGCTGTAGAATGTGGGCTCCTTGTATGTCCCCAGATGACTCCAGCCTGCTAGTGGGGTTCTAAGAAGCCCAGGAGATCCTTCCCTATACCCTGGGTTCAACCCCTAGCTCCACTTCCCCTCCTGGGCAGCCTTGGGCAAGTCAGTTACTTTGGCTGAATCCCTGTTATACACTCTACTGATTGGGATGCTTATGCCTACTTTTCTTTCTTCCCTGGAGTGCAGTGAAGATCAGAGTTGGGGAAGGAGCTCACTGAGGGGAATGCCTCACAGTAAGCCAGAAACTATAGGGAAATCCAGTAGAAACAAGGGGCAGAATGGGCTGTGAGAGATCTACCTACCTGGACAATGAAGCCCCAAAGGACCTTGGGGTATGGGATAGAATGATGCTGAGTGCAAGATTCACTCCCCTCCTGTTCCAACACCACTTGACATCCTACCATGTCCCAGTACTAGAGTTGTCAGATAAAAAAAAAAAAGTCTAGTTACATTTGAATTTCAGAAAACGATAAATAATTTTTATGTAAGTATATGCCCAAACATTGCAATTATTATTATTTATTTTTATTTTTATTTTTTAGATGGAGTTTGCTCTGTTACCCAGGCTGGAGTGCAGTGGCACAATCTCGGCTCACTGCAATCTCCACCTCCTGGGTTTAAGCGATTGTCTTGCCTCAGCCTCCTGAGTAGCTTGGATTACAGGCTCCCGCCACCACACCCAGCTAATTTTTGTATTTTTCGTAGAGATAGGGTTTCACCATGTTGGCCAGGCTGGTCTTGAACTCCTGACCTCAAGTGATCTGCCTGCCTTGGCCTCCCAAAGTGCTGGGATTACAGGCATGAGCCACTGTGCCTGGCTGCAATTACTTTTTTAGTTATCTGAAATTCTAATTTAACTGCATATCCTGTGTTTTTGTTTACTATATCTGGTAACCCTGCCCAGCAGGAGTGAAGTGAAGACACCCAGGGACTCTTCACCTCATTTCACAATGGAGGCCCTAGGAGGAGATCAGATTTGCCCAAAGCTCTGCGACATATCCACTATTTTGTTCTACACAAGGCCCCTTGGCTGAGGTTTAAACCTGGGCTGTTTGTGTTGGCTCTAACTCAGAGAACTTAGCTCACATCCCTTCCTTCCCTCTTAGGGCTGGCCTGGGCCTTGGGGCCATTGACAGTCTCTGGGAGTCTAACTCACAAGATAGAATGAAGAGGGTGGGTGGACAGGGAGCATTAAAGGAGGATCAAGAGGCTCAGCAGGAGATCTAACTACAGAATGTGGCTCCTGGTAGACTAATAATGCCACTTCTATTTCTACAGCCAAAGACTCAAGTTCTCAAGCAGTTTTTAATCTTTGAATTTGCCCTATGTCAATGGCAGAGGGGAAATGGAGCTAGGGCTAGTCTCTGAGCCTCCTGACACCCAGGGCTCTCCTTGCTGCTCTGGGGTCTGGAGAAAAGGGTTAGGAAAGAGGCCCTCTGATGCCCAGACCAGGGAAATGGAAAGAGGAAGGCTTGTGGAAAAGCAGGGTGGGTCCTGCCCGAAGCCCCTGGAGTTTGGTCCAGCCTCTGCTGTCATCTAGTGGACACCCCATGCCAGTGCCTCCTTGAGACTCCTGAACAAGGCTGTCTGCTCCTTTCCTGGTCGGTTGTGCCTGCTAGCCTAGTCCTTCTTGGCTCTGATTCGCTATATGACCCTGAACAAGCCCTTTTCTTCTCTGGTTCTCAATTTTATCTCTTGGAACAGTGGTTCTCCAAACGGTAGCAGGCCCAATCTTTCTAAAACACAAACATAGCCAGTTCTCTCCACTGTCTACATCTGTCTTCTGACCAGAGAGGCTCATGCTGAAGCCTGGTGGGCACTGCAGGATCTGAGCCCAGCTGACCTCACCTACTCCCCACATCTCTGTTCTAACCACACGGAACTACATTCATATTCTCAATTAACACACTCTCTAAGAGCCTTTGCACATGCTGTTCCCTTTGCCTAAAACACTTTTCCCCCTTCTTTACCTGGCTTGTTCTTACTCATCCTTCAGATGTTGGCTTAGCCATCCTGAAACCACCTTTGCAAAAATTATAACTGAGGAAATCATGACACTGAAAGAAATCAGACCTCACCGACTCCATCTTGCTTCTAACCTTTAAGCTGACCTTGTTCATTCCTGGGCGTAGGCCAAACTAACTTTGGGAAGGAATTCAGTTAATCATTTGACTCTGAAACAAAATTGGTAATAGCCCTTTTCCAAAAAGACCCTTTTCTTGCCTGGTGGGGACCAGTCTGTTTTTGCAAGACTAACAGATTAGCTACAAGATTAGAAATTACAGTTTAGGGTCATGCAGCCTCCGGCTCCAAGAGTCTGAACCTCCCCAAATTGCTCCTGGGGATAACATCAGTATTGTAAAATCTAAGATCAGTGCTTGAGGTATTTTGCAGACCCTGCACTGGATGGATCAGCTGACACTACCCAGACAAGTAATGTGGCTCAACCAGCTCTGCCATCCCACCCAGGAACAGAAGACAGCAAGAAAAACTCCCTTCGACCCCCTATAATTCCATCTCCAACCTGACCAATCAGCACTCCCCACTTCCTAAGCCCCTACAAATTATCTTTAAAAACTCTGATCTCCAAATGCTCTGGAAGACTGATTTGAGTAACAATAAAACTCGGGTCTCCCCCACAGCCGGCTCTACATTAATTACTCTTTCCCCATTCCAATTCCCCTGTCTTGATAAATCGGCTCTGTCTAGGCAGCAGGCAAGGTGAATTTGGTGGGGGGTTACAATCCCATTCAGGAAGCCCCCGCCCCCACCCCCACCCCCAAGTCCCCACACTAGGATGGGCGAGCATACCTTAGGTCTCCACTGAGGACTGGTTGTGGTTTCAGGAGGGCATATGATTCTGGAAGAGGTCAAATGTCAGCCCAGGGGGCTGACGGGTAGCCATGGGCTCAGGGTTCAAAATAACCTGATTTCCCATCCCACTATGCCAAGGTTGGACGCTGCGTATGACTATGAGCCAATGACTCCACCTCTCCAAACCTATTTTACAGATGAACAAATCAGACCATGTCTGCACCCACACTGGTCAACAGAATTCCAATGCTAGCCACAAATGTAATCTGAAATTTTCTAGCCATCGAGAACATAAAAGAAAGAGGTGAAAGTAATTTTAATAAGACATTTTGTGAGCTGGACCTGGTGGTGCACCCCTGGTGGCTGAGGTGGGAGGATCACTTTGAGTCCAGGACTTCAGGCTGCAATGAACTTTGATCAATCCTGCCACTGCACTCCAGTCTGGATGAGAGAGTGAGACCCGGTCTCAAAAAAAAAGATTAATAATACACTTTATGTGATCCGATGTGTAAAATATTATTTCAATATGTAATCACTATTTTTAAATTATTAACAAGCCATTTTACACCCTTTTTTGGTACCAAGTTTTTGATATCCTGTGTGTATTTTATTTACACTTATTGTGCATTTCAATTTGGATTCCATCTCAAGCACTCAGCCACATGAGACCGAAGACCACTGTTTCGGATAGCACAGCTCTACATGTAGCATTGGGGAAACAAGAATGATTCCCAGGTTTTTGGTCTGAACATGGAGGACAAAGGATAGGGTAATTTCTTGGTATGGAGGAGGGTGAATAAATGTGGTACAGGGTTGGGGAGAGTCTGAGGGCCTTTGTCCCTTTAAGTGTTCATTGCCCTACATCCTGGGAAAGTTTCTAGACACCTGTCCGGGAGCTGTGTAGACCCTGGTTTGTGTAGACCCTGGTGGCTTGGTGCTAGTGCCTGGGCCTCCTCCTTGAGGCCTGAGAAGGGGTCGCGAAGTCACTCTCACTTCTCTCCCAGACCCCACAGTCCTAGGCTCTGCCCTTTTATGCCGTCAAGGTGTAGGCATTCCCTCTACCAAAGATTTAGCAAAAAAGAAAAGTCAAGTTAATTTTGAATTTCAGATAAAGAACATGTAATTTTTTTTTCTTTTGAGACAAGATCTTGCTTTGTTGCCCAGACTGGAGTGCAGTGGCACAATCATGGCTCACTGCAGCCTTGAATTCCTGGGCTCAAGTGATCCTCCCATTTCTGCCTCCTGAGTAACTGGGACTATAGGCGTGCACCACCACGCCTGGCTAATTTTTAAAACTTTTAGTAGAGATGGGGTCTATGTGGCCCAAGCTGGTCTCAAATTCCTGGCTTCAAGCGATCCTCCTGCCTTGGCTTCCCAAACTGTTGGGATTACAGGCATAAGCCACCGCACCCAGCATAATAATTTTTAAATGTAAGTATGTCCCAGGTGATATTTGGGACATATTTATATTTTTTAAAATTTGATGTTTATGTGAACTTCAAATTTAATTGGGCATATCCTGTATTTTATCTGGCAGCCCTACTTCTAGTTCACCCTTCTGGACTTGGAAGCACTGAATCTGGCTCTATTTCCTTGTTGTGTGACCTTGGTCACATTTCCTCACCTCTCTGAACTTCAGCTTCCTCCTCTGTAAAGTGGCCACAAATACTTCTTTCCTCAATGAACTGTTAAAAGGACTCACTGAGAAAAGTATGAGAAAATGACCTCCAGGAGTTTGAGACCAGCCTGACCAACATGGTGAAACCCCGTTTCCACTAAAAATACAAAATAATTAGCTGGGCGTGGTGGCGCGCACCTGTAATCCCAACTACTCAGGATGCTGAGACAGGAGAATTGCTTGAACTCGGGAGGCAGAGGTTGTAGTGAGCAGAGATTGCACCACTGCACTCCAGCCTGGGCGACAGAGTGAGATTCTGTCTCAAAAAAAAAAGAAAAAAAGAAAAGGACCTCCCGGCCAGGCACAGTGGCTCACATCTATGACCTCAGTAATCTGGGAGGCCAAGGCAGGCAGGTTGCTTGAGTCCAGAAGTTCCAGACCAGCCTGGACAACATGGCAAAACCCTGTCTTTACAAAAAATACAAAAATTAGCTGGGCATCGTGGCACATGCCTGCAGTTCCAGCTACTCAGGAGGCTGAGGTAGGAGGAGCACCTGAGCCTGAGGAGGTTGAGACTGCAGTGAGCCAAAATCGCACCACTGCCCTCCTCCAGCCTGGGTGACAGAGTAAGACCCCGTCTCAAAAAAAAAAAAGAAAAAAAGAAAAAAAGAAAAAAGGAAGGACCTCCCCATAATGCCTGGCACATAGTAGGCCCAGAGCAAACATCTGCCCTTCCTTCAGTCTCCCAGATGTGCAAGGCAGCTCCACTGTCCAATGAGTGCCCCACCTCCCTCCCTCTCCACACTACCCAGGATCCCATAATTCCATAATTTCTCAGTGCCTTTTTGTATTGTCCTTCTCTTCACTAGTATTTCTTTCCCTGGTTTCCAGACTTTTTTTTTTTTTTTTAGAGAAAAGGTCTCACTCTGTCACCCAGGCTGAAGTGCAGCGGCGTGATCATAGCTCACTGCATCCTGAAGCTCCTGGGCTCAAGCCATCTTCCCACCTCAGCCTTCTCAGTAGCTGGGACTACAGATGAATGCCACCATGCCCAGCTAAATTTTTTTTTGTAGAGACAGGGTCTTGCTATATTGCCCAGCCTGGTTTTGAACTCTTAGCCTTAAGTAATCCTCCCTTGTCGGCCTCCCAAAATGTTGATATTACAGATGTGAACCGCTGTGCCTGGCCAGCTTCCTGAACTTTTGGCCATGCTTCATCTTTGCTAGGAATATACTAGAATCCTCTGGAAAGGGCCTAATTCCCAAGAATAGAGTCCTGCTGACCTAGCTCTCAGAAGATTCCAGAATATGGCTCAGATACTACCTGGTGGCTATGTATCTAAACAAAAAATACTATCACTACCAGACGTGAATCTGAAAGGTCAGGCTGGTTCACTCTGCCCCTGACCAGCAGGGCCACCATAAGGGCAGAGCCCTGGGCCAGGCCCCAGTAGAAGACTGAATAGACGGACCCTGAGCTGTCCTGGGGCAGGGAACTTGATGGCAGGGGAGCAGCAGGCTTCAACGTGACCCTAGCACCCATACACAGAGAATGAGAGGAGCCTGAGGCCCAGGGGTGGGTGGCCTGTCTGAGGGCACACAGCAAAGATTTGCCTATTTGCCCCAGATCAGGGGACTAATGAGGCCATGCTCCTAACCTGCCCACTCCTCTGTGGAAGAACTGGGATTTAGGAGAATCAGGGAGTGCTTTCTCTGGCTTATTCTCACTTCTGTCTGCAGACACAGTCTTCCTCTCTCAGCCTCCTGTACCCATGAGGAGAGACTAATGTGGGGTAGGGGTAGGGAAATGGCTAGGTCCAGGGAACCTTCTCCCCCATGTCAGGTGAGGAGACTGGAGGAGAAAGTGATGCTACCTCCTTAAGAGCTGGTGCTCCCTGGGATGCTGGAATCCTCTCTCTCTCCTTGCATTGAACAGATCATAAAATTGAGTCCCAGAGAAGAGCAGGGACCTGTGAGTCCTAGAAGATCAAATAGGCCTGGCTGATGCCTATAATTCTAGCACTTTGGGAGGCCAAGGCAGGCGGATTGCCTGAGCTCAGGAGTTTGAGACCACCTGGGTAACATGGTGAAAACCCGTCTCTACTAAAAAGACAAAAAATTAGCCGGGTGTAGTGGTGAGTGCCTGCCTGCTTCCAGCTACTCGGGAGGCCGAGGCATGAAAAATCGCTTGAACCCAGGAGGCAGAGGTTGCAATGAGCCAAGATTGTGCCACCGCACTCCAGCCTGGGTGACAGAGGGAGACTCTGTTAAAAAAAAAAAAAAAAATCAAGTGGGCCAGAAGGTCCCCCAGACTTCTTGCCTCTCCTCACTTGGCAAGTAAACACCTGTGGCCCAGGTCCTTAATCATGCCCTTCTCCCACCTTATAATTTACCCACTCTTTGGTTGTTGTTTTTTGTTTTTTGTTTTTGTTTTTGTTTTGTTTTTTTGAGACAGAATTTCACTCTTGTCGCCCCGGCTGGAGTGCAATGGTGTGATCTCGGCTCACTGCAACCTCCGCCTCCCCAGTTCAAATGATTCTCCTACCTCAACCTCCCAAGTAGCTGGGATTGCAGGCACCCACCACCATGCCCAGCTAATTTTTGTATTTGTAGTAGAGACAGGGTTTCACCATGTTAGCTGAGCTGGTCTCGAACTCCTGACCTCAGGTCATCCGCCCGCCTCAGCCTCCCAAAGTGCTGGGATTACAGGCATGATGAGCTACCGCGCCTGGCCTAATTTACCCACTCTTCAACCTTCCTGGTCCCCCAAACTCATGGCTCCCCCTGAGGTTCTACAGGGGCCTCCTATTTGTGTTGTGTTCCTAATCTCCATCCCTTCCCTCTGCCCTCTGGAGAGGGTCTAAATGCCTCTGCATGGTCTTCCACTCCCACCCACCCCACCCACTACCCCAAGCCCTTCCTTCCTTGCCAGTCTATCACTCCTTCCATCCCTTCACAGACCCTACTCTCTGTGCCAGGGTGGTGAAGCAACATTTCAACAGGAGCAGGTTTTGAGGGCGGATTCCAATTTTGGGCCTGATTCTTACCAGCTGTGTAGTCTTGGGCATGTTGCTTAACTTCTCTGGTCCTCTAGCCTCTCATCTGTAGTAAGACTTCCTTCACAATCCTGGGGTGAGGGTTAAATTGCATAAAGCCCTTAGCACAGTATGCAGCACTTTATAAACATTCAATAAATGTTAGCTACTGCTATTATTATTATTAAAGGAGTAAGGGCAAAGAAGGGGAGGGGGCAGGGGGACTTGGGAGCAAGCAGAGGAAGAAATCAGAAAATTTATATTTTTAAAATTATTTCCCACCGGAATGAATATTTTTTATTCAGCACAATGTTGTAGGCATCAAATAATATTAAATCTATGCTGGGTTCCAGCAGGATAAATGCCAACATCACCAACAGGGCTTCCAGGGATTATAAGTGCCTTAGTGTGCTAAAGCAGAGAAGATATTACTTGATATATTTTTGAAGCTGAAGTGCTTCCAAGTTTGGTAGTTCCAATTCTGCTACTTCTTGGGAACGTTTTTAATAACAAGAACATGAAGAAATAAACAGTGCTGGTTCCCTAATGTTAAAGTTTCAGGAACGTGGTTATTGCTTTCCAGAAAATACCATGAGAATGACCTCATTTCCGACTAAGGAAAAGTTGAACTCTCTCCATTTTTTCCACCTTATGAACCCAACAAAAAGAGCAAAGAGGAATATAATCAGGGAGTTTATCTTAATGAAAGCTGATGGCTTCAATATCTTTTTTCCCACAGTTTAATTGCTTTAGGCATTTATTATTAGCTATGATTAACGCAGAAAGAAGGGACAAAAAGCTCACAAACACTATACAATTTCACAAGATGCATTGCAGGGGGAAAAGTGACTGAGATGGATCAGCAATATCCCAGGGTCTTGGTGGATGCATTCCTGGTGGAAAGGGTCTCATTCCTGGAGGGGGCATGCCTACTGGCGTCCCTCTAGCAAGGGGAAGCCCAATTGGTGGGCCCATGGGTGGTTTCATACCAGGTGGAGGAAACATAATGCCTAGAGGTGGGGCTGCTCTGCCAACAGGTGGGGGTGGAGCCCCCGGTCCTGGTGGGTACTGTGTTGGGGCTCCAGTAATGCTCTTCTCTGTGGAGTCATTACCTGCTGGGATGGTCCCCCAACTCCTGGGACGGGGCCTGCTAATCCACCAGGAGCCTGGGGAATTGGTACACCAGCTGATACTCCTCTACCAGCTGCCCTAACAACTCCAGGGCCTCCTGCAGCTCCAGCAAGTGGTACCCGAGCAATGCCAGTATATTTTGGGGGTAGCCCCTCCACAGTCATGGATACCAAGTTCTCCCCATGCAGCAACACCAGACCCCAAAAGTGCTTTTCTTCGAGCTCTGGTTGCTTCACGTTCTTTGGCTTGATCTTTCTGAACTCATCACAATCGCAGAGGATCAAATTCACATGCTTGTCAAACGCCTTAAAGATGCCAAAGAAGATTGTGCCTTCCTGTAGGATGCATTTCATTCTATAGTCAATGTGCTGCTGCAGCCTTGCTACTCGTGCCCACAGTCGTGATTGCTGCTTCACCAAATCCCGTGTCCACAGTTAAAACTTCGTGCTTCTTAAGACCTGGGGGAAAGCTATAGATAAAGGTATGGTGCAGGTTCTCCCAGAAACAATGCAAGCTGAGGGGGAAACGTGGTGGCTCACGCCTGTAATCCCAACACTTTGGGAGGCTGAGGAGGGCAAATCACCTGAAGTCAGGAGTTCGAGAGCAGCCTGGCCAACATGGTGAAATCCCATCTCTACTAAAAATACAAAAATTAGCTGGGTGGTAGTGGCATGCACCTGTAATCCCAGATACTCAGGAGGCTGAGACAGGAGAATCGCTTGAGCTAGGGAGGCGGAGGTTGAGGTGAGTCAAGATGGCATCACTGTACTCCAATCTGAGTGACAGAGTGAGGTGCTGTCTCAAAAATATATGTATAATTTTTAAAAGTATATTGAAAGCATTGGGTGAGGTGGCTCATGCCTGTAATCCCAACACTTTGGGAGACCAAACTGGGAGGATCCCTTGAGGCCAGGAGTTTGAGACCAGCTTGGGCAACAGCAGGACCCTGTCTCTACAGAAAAATAAAAAATATTAGCTGGGTGTGGTGCGTGCCTGTAGTCACAGTTATTCAGGAGACTGAGGTGGGAGGATCACTTGAGCCCAGGAGTTGAAGCCTGCAGTGAGTTAGGATGGTGTGCCACTGCACTCCAGTCTGGACCACAGGCTGAGACCATGTTTTTTTAAAAAAATAAAAAATAGATAATGGATCGATTGATAGAGAAAGCTCACTCTGTGATGAACCTGTTCCGAGTATCCTCATAACAACTTTTTGAGGAAGGAAGAAATTGGAACACACCTGTGGTTAAACAAGTTGAGTTTATCACTTGTTATGGGGTAAGGGTGAGAGGACATGAATCATGAGAAACAATAGGGCAGCTGGGCTTGGTGGTTCACATCTGTAATCCCAGCACTGTAGAAGCCCAAGGTGGGAGGAACACCTTAGGTCAGGAGTTCGAGACCAGCCTGGCCAACATGGTGAAACCCTGTCCCTACTAAAAATACAAAAATTAGCCGGGAGTGATGGTGGGCGCCTGTAATCCCAGCTACTTGGGAGGCTGAGGCAGAAGAATCACTTGAACCCAGGAGGCAGAGGCTGCAGTGAGCCGAGATCACACCACTGCACTCCAGCCTGAGTGATAGAGTGATACTCTGTCTCAAAAACAAACAAACAAACAAACAAACAAACAAAGGGGCATCTCAGTAACAAAGTGTTACAAAGGACACATAGGATTTGGGCTTGCATTAGGTGATTTGGACGAGGGCTTAAGAAAATGGGGTTTTCTGGATTGGATGCTGCCTATGAGTGAGTACCTTGATAAACATTATTTAGAAGGAGGGAAGAGTAGACCGAGGCTAAATCTATAATCTCTATACAAGCCAGAATAGGGAAATGTTTGGCCATTTTTGTAGTTCGAACAATGCTCATGTTTTGTCTGGGTTTAGACATGATTCAAGTGGTTTTGTTATTGTCTTGATCCATCATGGTCACATAGTGGCTTTGTTTGATGTTGATGTTCTGTGAAGTTTTTATGTTCAATAAGAGAACACACCAAGGTCTATTTGTGAGTGCCAGACCATCTCCTGGATGTCAGGGGCTGTTTTTCTCTTAGCGCTTGGTTTCAAATCCAGGTTTGTGTGACTGGAAACATCCCTTGTATTACTTCTTGATCACAGGAACTTGCAAAGGTGGCTGGCAGACTAGGACTTTCATCTATGAGCTTATTTCATCTACTATTTTTTATTTTTTTTTCTGAGATGGAGTTTCACTCTTGTCGCCCAGGCTGGAGTGCAATGGCACGATCTTGGCTCACTATAACCTCTGTCTCCTGGGTTCAGGCAATTCTCCAGCCTCAGCCTCCCAAGTAGCCGGGATTACAGGTGCCCGCCACCACGCCTGGCTAATTTTTGTATTTTTAGTAGAGATGAGTTTCACCATGTTGGCCAGGCTGGTCTCGAACTCCTAACCTCAGGTGATCTGCCTGCCTCGACCTCCCAAAGTGCTGGTATTATAGGCGTGAGCCACCGCGCCGGCCTTTATCTACTATGTTCACCTCCTACTCAGGTCCGATCCCTAACCGTTCCTGGGATAACTGTAGGTACTTAATAAATGCTTGTTGAATGAATGAAGATGGCTGTCAAGAACTCCAATGACTGCTTGAGTGCAAATCACAAGCTCCATCACCTATCAGTATGTGATTTGATACAATATGTATTAACAGCTAATCCACAATCCATATTCAAATTTCATTACTTGTCCCAATATTGTCCATTACAACTATTCCACCACCACCACTACCCCAGTCCAGGGTCCTATTTAGAATCACACACCACATTTTGTTGTCATGCTTCTTTAGTCTCCTTTAAACTGGAACAGTTCCTCAGCTTTTCTCTGTTTTTCATGACAATGAGTTATTTTGTAGACAGTGTCCTTCATTTGGGGTTCTCTAGCACTTCCTCATGAGATGTGTACGGTGCACTTTTGACAGAAATACCACAGATGTGTTCTCAGTGCATTTTATTAGGAGGCCCTTGATCTGACCCATTAACTAGTGGTGTTAACTTTGATCACTTTGATCTGTTTGTTCTGCTAGGTTAAACCTCTGTAACATCACCATTTTCCCTTTGTAATCAATAGCTAATTTATGGGAGACACTTTTGCTGTTGTAAACATCCCGTTTCTCTAGTTTTACCACACATTATTGATTTCCTAATTCCACCATGTTTATTAGCTAGCATTCTACTAAAAGGAAGACTTTCCCTTCACCCATTAATATGCTCACTTCTTTATGTTTGTAAAGACTCATGGATTACTATTTTATTCAATTAGTTATACTCTATTACTATCACTCCATATTTTGATTCTGAAATTGCCCTGACTTGGCCAGTAAGATCTCCTTAAAGACAGCTCCTGTGTTCTTTGACACATTCCCATGATTCTTATTACCATCATCCTTATATTCTGGTGTAACAAGATGTTCCAAGTTTATCTGGTACTTTCCGGAATGAGTTAGTTCTTTCTCTCTCTCTTTTTTTTTTTTTTTTTTGACGGAGTCTCACTCTGACGCCCAGGCTAGAGTGCAGTGGTGCGATCTCAGCTCACTGCAACCTCCGCCTCCCGGGTTCAAGCGATTATCCTGCCTCAGCCTCCCGAGTAGCTGGGATTACAGGTGTGCGCCACCACGACCGGCTACTTTTTGTATTTTGAGTACAGAGGGGTTTCACCATTTTGGCCAGGCTGGTCTCGAACTCCTGACCTCAAGTGATCCATCCGCCGCGGCCTCCCAAACTGCTGGAATTACAGGTGGGAGCCACCGCGCCCGGCCGGAATCAGTTTTTTTCTTTTAGGAGCCCCGAACCCAAAGCTCTTTGAAAAGCTGCCGAAGCTCCAAGGTTCCTCCGCTTCCTGCCCGCAGGCGGAACCTTAGAGCTTCAGCCATGGAAATTAACCTCTTCCGGTTGGGGCCGGAAGTCCCTCCGAGAGGGGCGGCTCCGCGTCATGTGACTGGAGTCCGCGTAGGAGGGGTCGGAGGTCTTACCCAACAGATTGACGCGGCGTTAGTATTGGCCGTGTACCCGAAAAACTGATTGACTGGGCTGGCGTTAACTGTGCGGAGGCAGGTATGTGAGGGGCTGGGGTTGGGGCGGGGGCGCCAAAGTTTAGGGACGGGGGCGGGAGACCCGGGTCCGCCTTCCCAGGACACACGGGCTTGAACATCTGAGCCCAGGGGCCCAGAGACAGCAAGACCGGTCGTGTCTGTCCCCGAAAAGAGGACGAGCTGGCGTTGTGGTTCTGCGTCCCATGAATACAGATTGGGGAAACTGAGGCCTTGCGAAAGAGAAGGGCTCCCACAAGCTCTCCTTTCGAGGCATGGGCACTGATTCCCATTCTATCCCCCGTGCGAGACCGCCTCTATCATCTGGGAGTGCATTTCACGAGTTTGCCCTGAGTGGAGAAGCAGAGGCCGGGGAGCGCGGTGAACAGAGTTGGGCTGAAAGTAAGAGACCTGGATTCGAGACTTCGCCACCGACAGACAATTGTGCGTTCTGGGCCAAATCTCTTCCCTGTGCTGGGCCTCAGTTTTCTCGTCTCTAAAACGGGGCAGTGTTTTTCAAAATATGGTTCTTACACCATCTGCTTTGTAATTCTCTGAGATGCCGGCTTTACAGCGCGGGACTCAATTCAGACTTCTGGTTTAGAATCTGAACTTATGCGTAGGGGGGTCCTGTATATACTAATGTTTGAAGCTCATTGATTTTAAGTGCTTTCCTGCTGTGAGCACTAGATATCCATTCTTCGCTTTGAGGCAGCTGGTGCCAGTTCAGGAACTTTGAAAGAACTGGAATGGTTAGCTCAGTAAAGAGAGCACTGGAAGGGAATTAACTTTTTAAAAATTGAAAATACTGTTACGGCAAAGAGGGCTTCCACTTCATCTTTAGGCTAAAAGAGGCAGAACTAGGACTAACAGGTGAATTCTACAGGAAGGCAAGATTTTTGCTTAATAGAAGAACTTAAATGGAAGAATCGTCAGAGGTGACCACCGATGGAGTGAATGGATTGCCTCCGTGCCTCCTTTCGAGGGAGGTATATAGGTATTAGATGAAGGTCCTTTCCAACTTGAAAGTCTGTGATTCCAAGGAGTTGTTCTGCATCTTTCTGGTGCTGACTCTGCTCTCAAGGCAAATGTGACTTTTTTCTTCTCTTTTGACACTTCCATCACTTTAGCCTACATCTCCTGTAAATAAGGCCAATGCATCTGACCTTACATAATCTCTTCCTGGTTGTCCTGTGCACCATCCTTCTTTTCAAGGACTTTGGAATGACCCAATATCTGATAGAGGCACCTTAAATGTTTATTGAATGAATAAGTAAACTGGGTCCCACCCCATGGGTTAGTAGCTTTTTTCTAAGAACAAGTTGGAAATGCCTCTGAAGATTTTATGTTTGACCAGGAGAAGCCAGTGAACTCTGAATCACAAAATTGAGGACTCTCAGTTGAAAGCACCCCTTGAGGTTGTTCAGACCAGCCTTCTCTTCCCTGGAACATAATCCCTGCTTGAATCCTCTCTTCAGCAATATGTGTATAGATGTGAGAGAATTTTTGCAGTCTGTTGGCTAGCTTTCCATGCATCATATAAAAACAGTCCTCTTATAGACTTGACTTGCCAGTTCACACACATGACAAGTTCCAGCTTTTTTTTTTTTTTTTTTGAGTATTTAGTAGAGATGGGGTTTCACCATGTTGGCCAGGCTGGTCTCGAACTCCTGACCTCAAGTGATCCGCCTGCCTCAGCCTCCCAAAGTGCTGGGATTTCAGGTGTAAGCCACTGTGCCTGGCCTCTAGCATACCTTTGGTTTTCTAATCAAACATTATTATGTCCTTATTTTGTGCATTACAAAGCTCTGCCTAAATCACTTTTTCAACACCTGCTAGAATGCTTAGGAATGTTTATGTTGTCTTAGGGAGCAGAGGCTCCATATTATGACCCAGTTCTGCTGACTTGCTCCCCCGCCGCCACAAAAGTTAGGGTTGAGCCAAAACTTCCTGCCAGTTATCGACTTGTGTTTCCCAAGATTAAAAAATAAAAAAGTTGTGAAATGCTTATTCAGATGTTATCCAGGTACTGGGTAAAATGATCTTAATTTGTTGGAGTTTTTAGAACTTCTCGATCTAAAAGTTTCCTTTTAAAGAAGTGTCTGAATTGACATTCTCATAAGTATGTTCTTCAGGCCACTGGTCTGAAGAAGTGGCTCTGAAAAAAGGATTTGATGCTAATAATAAGTTTGAGAAAGCCACATACCATTATTCTTTCTTGGAGCTTCTCAATGTGTAATACCACATTAAAACCACTGAGAGGTCCTGCAATAAGGAAATGTGCCTTATAAGCCAAGATAATAACTTGTTCCATTTGTTTAATCTACTTGATGTCAAATCTTTTTTTTTTTTTTAATTGAAGCACACGTTAGCAAATTCTGACCTAGAGTGGGGATCTGCATACTATATATAGGCTGTGAACCAAACCTGGACCTACTGCTTGTTTATATGGTCTGTGAGCTAAGGGTGCTTTTTACATTTTTCTTTCTTTTTTTTTTTTTTTTAAGACGGAGTCTCGCTCTGTTGCCCAGGCTGGAATGCAGTGGCTCCATCTCAGCTCACTGCAAGCTCCGCCTCCTGGGTTCATGCCATTCTCCTGCCTCAGCCTCCCGAATAGCTGGGACTACAGGCGCCCACCCCGATGACTGGCTAATTTTTTGTATTTTTAGTAGAGGTAGGGTTTCACTGTGTTAGCCAGGATGGTCTTGATCTCCTGACCTCGTGATCTGCCCGCCTCAGCCTCCCAAGGTGCTGGGATTACAGGCGTGAGCCACCACGTCTGGCCTGCTTTTTACATTTTTAAATGATGGGAAATAAAAGAAGAATAATATTACATAGGTGACAATTACAGGAAGATAAAATTTCAGTGTTCATTTCAGTCACACCCATTTATTTATATTCATATATATTTACATATTGTCTTTGGGTGCTTTAATGCTACTCAGTGGAGTTGATTACTTCCCATAAAAACCATATGGTCCACAGAGTCTGAAGTATTTACTCTATGGCCCTTTATGGAAAAAAAATTGCCAATTCCTGACCTGCATCGTGTACATTTTTTTTTTTTGAGACAGTGACTCGCTCTGTTGCCCAGGCTGGAGTGCAGTGGCACGAACATAGCCTACTACAGCCTTGACCTCCTGGGCTGAAGCCATCTTCCCACCTCAGCCACCCGAGTAGTTGGGACTACGGGCACACACCACCACACCCAGCTAACTTTTAGGTTTCTTGTAGAGATGAGGTCTCACTATGTTGCCCAGGCTGGTCTCAAATCTCCGAGCTCAAATGATTCTCCTGCCTCAGCCTCTCAAAGTGCTAGGATTACAGGTATGAGCCACCACTCCCAGCCATGTATTGTTTTTTAACTTTTTATTTTATTTTATTTATTTATTTATTTATTTATTTATTTATTTGAAACGGAGTCTCACTCTGTCCTCCAGGCTGGAGTGCAGTGGCGCAATCTCGGCTCACTGTAACCTCCACCTCCCGGGCTCAAGCAATTCTCCTGCCTCAGCCTTCTGAGTAGCTGGGACTACAGGTGCACGCCACCTTGCCTGGCTAATTTTTGTATTTTTAGTGGAGACGGGGTTTCACCATGTTGGCCAGGATGGTCTCAATCTCCTGACCTCAAGTGATCCACCCACCTCAGCTTCCCAAAGTGCTGGGATTACAGGCTTGAGCCACCGTGCCTGGCCCCTTATTATTATTATTATTATTTTTTAGATGGAGTTTCACTCTTGTTGCCCAGGCTGGAATGCGGTGGGACAGTCTCAGCTCACTGCAACCTGTGCCTCCCAGGTTCAAGCGATTCTCCTGCCCCAGCCTCCCAAGTAGCTGGGATTACAGGCATGTGCCACCACACCTGGCCAATTTTTGTATTTTTAGTAGAGGTGGGTTTCACCGTGTTGGCCAGGCTGGTCCTGAACTCCTGACCTCAGGTGATCCACCCGCCTTGGCATCCCAAAGTGCTGGGATTACAGCCGTGAGCCACTGCGCCTGGCCTTTTTATTTTGAAATAATTTTACTCTTATACTAAACTTGCAAAAATAATTCACAAACTTTCTGTATATCTGTCATCTAACTTCACCTAATGTCAAAACTGTACATAATTATATCAGAATTATCCAAACAAGAAATTTAACATTAATACAATATTACTAGCTAATCTAGAGACTTTATTCAGATTTTGCTATTTGTCCCACTGTGTCCTTTTTCTGTTCCAGGACCCAATCCTGGATCCTACATCACATTTAGTTGTCAAGTCTCCCTGGTCTCATCAGATATCTGGGACAGTTCCTCATTGTCTTTTTTTTTTTTTTTTTTTTTTTGAGACGGAGTCTCACCCTGTCACCCAGGCTGGAATACAGTGGCATGATCTCAGCTAACTGCAACCCCCCTCCCGGGTTCAAGCGATTCTCCTGCCTCAGCCTCCTGAATAGCTGCAATTACAGGCGTGTGCCACCATGCCCAGCTGTTTTTTGTATTTTTAGTAGAGTGGGGTTTCACCATGTTGGGCAGGCTGGTCTTGAAGTCCCAACCTCAGGTGATCCACCTGCCTCGGCCTCCCAAAGTTCTGGGATTACAGGTGTGCCACCACACCCGGCCTGCATTTGCACTAAAATTTATTTTTTTTTTAATTGTTTGTTTTTGAGATGGAATTTCACTCTTATTGCCCAGGCTGGAGTGCAGTGGCGCAATCTTGGCTCACCGCAACATCTGCCTCCCAGGTTCAAGCGATTCTCCTACCTCAGCCTCCCGAGGAGCTAGGATTACAGGCATGCACCACCACGCCCGGCTAATTTTGTATTTTTTTTTTTTTAGTAGAGACAGGGTTGCTCTATGTTGGTCAAGCTGGTCTGGAACTCCCGGCCTCAGGTGATCTGTCTGCCTCAGCCTCCCAAAGTGCTGGGATTACAGGTGTGAGCCACTGCGCCTGGCCATTTGCACTAAAATTTATGAGGGTTCCAGTTTCTCCGCATCCACAACACTTGTTATTGCCCACTAAAAAAATTATATCTCTCCTAGTGGGTGTGAAGTGATATCTCATTGTGGTTTTGATTTGCATTTCCTTAATGGCTGATGATGATGATGATGATGTTCTTATTGGCCATCTGCATATCTTATTTGGAGAAATGTCTGTTTAGATCTTTTGCTCATTTTGTAATTGAGTTATTTGTTATCGTGTACAATTTTGAATGTAGGTATTCAAAGAGTTTGCAGATCTCTTGAAATAACTCAGTGATTTGACCTGCAAATTCTGAGGCAATGCCAGTATGTCCCTGATCTGAATGTAGTTGGATTTGGACATACTAAAGCACAAAGTAAATTTCCATTTGAGGCTACTGACCATGCAGAGCTTGACTCAAACCCAGCCACTTCTGGCCATGTGGAGTTGGAGTGGCCATGGGCAAGTGAAAGGAAGGGTACTATTTGCGTCCAGAAATGAGGTTGTCATCCAAGATATGATAAGACTAGTCAGGGAGCCTTCATTTTGGGTGCCACTCTGCTGTATGTCTGGTTATAGGCAGGGAGTAGAGGAGTCAGTGGTGGTTTGAATGCTCAGGACTAGCTGCTCATAGCTACATAACTACAGTGCTCCTAGGCCTATCTTGACCCTACAGCATTTGGCCATAACCAAACCATCTTGGACACATACCTTGAAACAAACAAAAGCTTCAGTAATGTAAATTGTGAAAGTAGTATGTGCTTATTTTATTATTATTTTTTTTTAGAGATGGAGTCTTGCTCTGTTGCCCAGGCTGGAGTGCAGTGGCACAGTGTTGACTCACTGCAGCCTCCATCTCCCAGATTCAAGCAATTCTCGTGCCTCAGTTCCTGAGTAGCTAGAATTACAGGCAAGTGCCACCATGCCCGACTAATTTTTGTATTTTTAGTAGAGATGGGGTTTCATGATCTTGGCCAGGCTGGTCTCGAACTCCTGACCTCAAGTGATCCGCCCACCTCAGCCTCCCAAAGTGCTGGGATTACAGGCATGAGCCACCATGCCCTGCCGATGTGCTCATTTTAGACATTTTGGGAAATACAGAAAAATCTCCCTCTCCCCACCCTAGTCATCCCTAGCTCTAGTATCTAGAGAACCTTTGTTGCAGTTGCTATATTTCCTTCTTGTTTCCTGCTACGGGGCACATTTTTAATAGTTGGAATCACTCACTGTACACAGGTCCATATCTTGCTTTTTCTTATTAACATCTAAAACTGAAGAAAACACACACTTTAATTTTAATGTCTCCATGTTTTTGCCAGCCTCTTCTATAAGCATTTCTTCTTCTTCTTCTTCTTCTTCCCCTTCCCCTTCCCCTTCCCTTCCCCTCCTCCTCCTCCTCCTTCTTCTTCTTCTTCTTCCTCTTCCTCTTCCTCTTCTTCTTCTCGAGACAGAGTCTGGCTCTGTTGCCCAGGCTGGAGTGCAATGGTGCGATCTTGGCTCACTGCAACCTCCACCTCCCGGGTTCAAATGATTCTCCTGCCTCAGCCTCCCGAGTAGCTGGGATTATAGGTGCCTGCCACCATGCCCAGCTAATTTTTGTATTTTTGGTAGAAACGGGATTTCACCATGCTGGCCAGGCTGGTCTCGAACTCCTGACCTCAGACGATCCACCCACCTCAGCCTCCCAAAGTGTTGGGATTACAGGCGTGAGCCACCACACCTGGCCTATAAGCGTTACTTCTGATGGCCTACATAGATTTCCATTTCCTTAACTGTTCATTTATTTAATAAGTCTTACTATGTAGACGTAATGTGTATAATAAGTACTTGGTGTGTTCTTAGTGGGATAGAAATGTAGTTTTGATTTTTAAATAAGGAGCATAGATTTTCTTAAAATTTTTTTTATTGTGGTAAGATGTACATAACAATATTTACTGTTTTAACTAATTTTATCTATTTAAATTTTTTTTGAGATAGGGTCTCACTCTGTGGCCTAGGCTGAAGTGTAGTGGCAACTCACTGCAGCCTCAACCTCTGAGGCTCAAGCAATCCTCTTGCCTCAGCCCCCTAAAGTGCTGGAATTACAGCAGTGAGCCATTGTGCCTGGCCCATTTTAATTATTTTTAAATGTACAATTCAGTGGCATTAAGTAAATTCACAATGTTGTATAACCATCACCACTATTTCTAAAACTTTTTCAGCATACCAAACAGAAACTCTACCCATGAAGCAATAACTCCTCATTCTCTCCTCCCCCCAGCTCCTGGTAACCTCTGATCCACTTTCTATCTGTATGAATTTGCCTATTCTGGATATTTCTAATAAGATTCTAATAAGAAAATCACACAATGTATGACCTTTTATGGAAACGTAGGGGGGTTTTTTCCTTTTTTTTTTTTTTTTTTTTTGAGACAGTCTCACTCCGTTGTCACCCAGGCTGAGTGCAGTGGTGTCATCTCAGCTCACTTCAACCTCCGCATCCTGGGTTCAAGCAATTATTGTGCTTCAGCCTCCCAAATAGCTGGAATTACAGGCGCTCACCACCACACCTGGCTCATTTTTGTATTTTTAGTAGAGATGGGGTTTTGCCATTTGCCCAGGCTGGTCTCGAACGCCTGACCTCAAGTGATCCGCCTGCCTTGGCTTCCCAGAGTGCTGGGATTATAGGCATGAGCCACCGTACCTGGGCCCAGTTTTTTAAATTGTAGTGAAATTCATATAAAATTTACCATCGTAACCATTTTTTTAAATGTACAGCTCAGTGGTATTAAGTACATTCATGTTCTAGAAACATCACCACCATCTACCTCCAGAACTGTTTTCATCTTGCAAAAGTGAAACTCTGTGTCTATTAAACAATAACTCCCTATTTCTTCTTCCCCCTAGCCACTGCCAACCACTATTCCACTTTCTGTCTCTATGATTTTGTTTACTCTAAGTACGTCATATAAGTAGAATCATACAGTATTTGTCCTTTTTATTTTTGAAGATGAGGCCTAACCGTGTGGCTGGTGTCAGACTCTTGGGTTTAAGTGAACTTTCTGCCTCAGCCTCCCAAGTAGCTGGGGTTATGTGTGGGCACCACTGCACCCAGCTTAGTATTTGTCTTCCTTTGACTGACTTACTTCACCTAACATGATGTTCTTGAGGTTCATTTATGTTGTAGCATATGTGAGAATTTTTCTTCCTTTTTAAGATAAAATGATTTTCCGTTGTATGTATTTTGCTTATCCATTCATCTGTCGATGCAAACTTGGATTGCTTCCATGTTTCAGCTATTGTGAATACTGCTACTGTGAACATTGATGTATAGCTATTTCTTTGCGACCTTGCTTTCAATTATTTGGGTACATACCTAGAGGTAGAATTGCTGGATCATATGGTAGTTCAGTTTTTAATTTTTTTGAGGAGCCTCTGTGCTGTTTTCCACAGCAGCTGTACCATTTTACATTCCCACCAACAGAGCACAGGGGTTCTATTTCTCTACATCCTTGCCAAAACTTGTTATTTTCTGGTGTTATAAAAATAGTAGTCATTCTGATGGTATCTCATTGTGCTTTTGATTTGCATTTCCCTGATGATTAGTGATGTTGAGCACCCTTCTGTGTACTTTTGGGACATTTGTATTTCTTCTTTGAAGAAATGTCTCTATTCAAGTCCTTTGCCCCCCCGCCCCACCACCACCCTTTAAAAATTTTTTTTGAGACAGAGTCTCTCTCTCTCTTGCCCAGGCTGGAGTGCAGTGGTGGAATCTGGGCTCTGCAACCTCCACCTCCTGGGTTCAAGCAATTATCTTGCCTCAGCCTCGCACGTAGCTGGAAGTACAGGCGTGTGCCACCACACCTGGCTAATTTGTTTTGTATTTTTAGTAGAGACAAGGTTTCACCATGTTGCCCAAGTTGGTCTCAAACTTCTGACCTCAAGTGATCTGCCTGCCTAAGCCTCCCAAAGTGCTGGAATTACAGGCCTGAGCCACCATACCTGGCCCCACTTTTGAATCAGGTTGTTTGTTGTTAAGTTTTAGGAGTTATCTATGTATTCAGGATATTAATTCCTTTTCAGATATATGATTTGCAAATATTTTCTCCCATTCTGTGAATTGCCATTTTACTCTATTGGTAGTGTCTTTTTATGCACAAAATTTTTAAATTTTTATGAAATCCAATTTGTCTACTTTTTCTTTTGTTACCTGTACTTTTGGTGTCATTCCAAGAAATCATTGCCAGAAATATAGTTTTTAAAGTCATGACCAAGTGGCTCCTGGTTTAAAATTCTCAGAGGCGGCCCTAATTGCTGCCTGGTTATCATACCCTACTTCTCTTTTTTTAATTTTTAGTTTTTTAAAGACAGGGTCTCTCTGTCGCCGAGGCTGGAGTGCAGTGGCGTGATCTCAGCTCACTGCAACCTCTGCCTCCCGGACTCAAGCAGTCCTCCCACCTTTGCCTCTTGAGTAGTTGGGACCACAGGCATGCGCCACTGCTCTTGGCTAATTTTTGTATTTTTTTGTAGAGATGGGGTTTTGCCATGTTACCCAGGCTGGTCTCAAACTTCTGGGCTCAAGTGATCTGCCTGCCTCCACCTTCCAAAGTGCTGGGATTACTGGCTGAGCCACCACACCCAGCCTTCAAACCGTACTTCTCTACTCTGCATCTGCTGTAGATGACAGGAGTCCATCTCTTCATTTCATTGGTCGTTGGGAACAAAGCTCCCGAGTGTTGGATCCTTGTCTTCCAGCTGGCCTAAGGACATGCAAAGATTAGAAGCAGCACTTCTATGTTCATTGAGCCAGATTGTGTCTGCTTCTGTGGAAATGGCCTAGGGGACTCACTGGCCATTCTGTCCTGGGTCCAGTTGCCAGGTTAATTCCTGTGATAGTTTCTATAGCACCTGACTCTGATACTCGCTCTCTTAATTGCTCCTCAGAAGTGCCTTGTGATGTAACAGTGATGTGGTTTTTTGTTTTTTTTTTTTGTTTGTTTGTTTGAGACAGAGTCTTGTTCAGTCGCCCAGGCTGGAGTGCAGTGGTGCAATCTCTGCTCACTGCAAGCTCCGCCTCCCGGGTTCATGCCATTCTCCTGCCTCAGCCCCCCGAGTAGCTGGGACTACATTTGCCTGCCACCAGGCCTGGCTAATTTTTTTCGTATTTTTAGTAGAGACGAGGTTTCACCATGTTAGCCAGATGGTCTCGATCTCCTTACCTTGTGATCCACCCGCCTTGGCCTCCCAAAGTGCTGGGATTACAGGCATGAGCCACCACCTCTGGCCAGATGTGGTTTTTATTTTTTATTTATTTTATTTATTTATTGAGACAGAGTCTCACTCTGTCACCCAGGGTGGAGTGCGGTAGTATGATCTCAGCTCACTGCAACCTCCACCTCCAGGGTTCAAGCGATTCCCATGTCTCAGCCTTCCAAGTAACTGGGATTACAGACATGTGCCACCACACCCAGCTAATTTGTATTTTTTAGTAGAGATAGGGTTTCACCATGTTGGCTAAGGTGGTCTCGAACTCCTGACCTCAGATGATCCACCCACCTTGTACTCCCAAAGTGCTGGGATTACAGGTGTGAGCCACCACGCCTGGCCAGGTTTTTATTTTTTAATATTTATTTATTTATTTTTGAGACAAGGTCTTTGTATGCTGCCCAGGCTGGTCTCAAACTCTTGTCCTCAAGCAATCCTCCTGCCTCAGCCTCCTGAGTAGCTGGCATGTTCCACTGTGCCTGGCATGTGGGGGTTTTTAAAGATGGACAGGTCTCTGAATACAGGAGTGGATCCTGGGCAAAGCCTAAGGAAGTTTGTTGTTTTTTCTTAACACTATCATCTCTGCCAAGGCACTTCTTAGTGTGAGAAGCTTTTTGTTTTTTAATAGTTACATTCTGACTTGGTTATAAACTCCTTGAGCACAGGAACCAGGACCTTCTCTGATTTACTTATTTATTTATTTATTTATTTATTTATTTATTTTTGAGACAGAGTTTTGTTGCCCAGGCTGGAGTGCAATGGCGCCATCTTGGCTCACTGCAACCTCCGCCTCCTTGGGTCAAGTGATTCTCCCGCCTCAGCCTCCCTAGTAGCTGGGATTACAGGCGCCCACCACTATGACCAGCTAATTTTTTTTTTTTTTTGGTGTTTTTAGTAGAGACAGGGTTTCACTATGTTGGCCAGGCTGGTCTTGAACTCCTGACCTCAGGCGATCCACCCGCCTTGGCCTCCCAAAGTGCTGGGATTACAGGCGTGAGCTACTGCACCCAGCCCTGATTTATTTTTATCATGGGTCTGGTAGTTGGCATTCTCTAAGTGTTTGCCAAACAGCACTGGTAACAAATACAATGGAGGTGGCTCAAGGCACAAGAGCAATTTGTAAAAGTCAATATTATAGACTTTTCAAAATGGTATCATTTTGGTTTTATCTTTAATCACAGTTGGTCCTAGTCAGGACCTTCTGTTGAAAGAAGTGAGAGGCTGGGCATGGTGGCTTGTGCCTGTAATCCCAGCACTTTGGGAGGCCGAGGCAAGCGGATCACCTGAGGTCGGGAGTTTGAGACCAGCCTGACCAACATGGAGAAACACCATCTCTACTAAAAATACAAAATTAGCCAGGTGTGGTGGTGCATGCCTGTAATCCCAGCTACTCAGGAGGCTGAGGCAGGAGAATCGCTTGAACCTAGGAGGCGGAGGTTGCGGTGAGCCAAGATTGCGCCATTGCACTCCAGCCTGGGCAACAAGAACGAAACTCCATCTCAAAAAAAAGAAAGGAGAAGTGAGATCATTGTTTTGTCAAGTATATACCGGGTATTAAAATTTAAAAAGTTTTCTACTTAATTGGTTAGATCTTGTCAAACTTATTGTTTTTATACTCTACCTTCAGAATATCTTAGAGGTCTTTAGCTCAACCTCAGGTAAAATATGAATTAATGACATTTTATAGAATATGAATTAATGAGATTTCACTGACTGTGTGAAAATAAAAGTGAAACCTGGCCAGGTGTGGTGGCTAATGCCTGTAATCCCAGCATTTTGGGAGGCTGAGGCGGGCAGATCACTTGAGGTCAGGAGTTCGAGACCAGCCTGACCAACATGGCGAAACCCTGTCTCTACTGAAAATACAAATAAATTAGGCAGGCATTGTGGTGCACACCTGCAATCATGAATTCAGAATATTAATCTTACTGCTTCCTCATTAATTTCTTTGTCTAATAGGGGCTAGGCACTGTTTCATACTTATTTAAAATAACAACAAGGCTGGGCGCGGTGGCTCATGCCTGTAATCCCAGCACTTTGGGAGGCCGAGGCAGGCGCATCACCTGAGGTCAGGAGTTCAAGACCAGCCTGGCCAACAAGGTGAAACTCCATCTCTACTAAAAATACAAAAATTGGCCAGTCATGATGGTGCACACCTGTGGTCCCCGCTACTCAGGAGGCTGAGGCAGGAGAATCACTTGAACCCAGGAAGCAGAGGTTGCAGTGAGCCAAGATCTTGCCACTACACTCCAGCCTGAGCAACAGAGTGAGACCCCGTCTCAAAAAAAAAAAAAAAAAAAAGCAAAACCCTTATTTTTTAAACTTTTCTCATGACAAAGGGATGGCTGGAACAATTATTCCCCATTTGCAGGTAAGGACACTGGCATAGTGAGTGACAGACCTGAGCCTTAGGCTAAGTCCTCTGGCTCCAGATTATTTCTTTCATGGTGTTATACTAGAAATTCACAGCCCTTGACTGGTATCTGTCCAGTCTGAAGAGCTTTTCTTTAAAACACTATTTTCCTCAGCTGTATTGGTTTGATTGAAATTAAATCCCCTTCATTCATTCACATACCTTAATCAAACATCTACTTCCTGTCAGGAACTGTGCTGTTGGCCCTAGGAGGTATCTCACTGGAGTGGGTAATAGTTCAGTGGATAACCAAACCTCTGTGTGAGTATGTTATCTTTAATAGGGAGAAATTTGAGAAAACTTGAAACTACTTCTGGTTGCAGATCCCTCAATTTTTTTTTCATTTGTGTAAGAGTTTTGGGTAATACTTAAAAAAAAAAAAATTGACTCTAAGTTATGTAACATTTCCAGTTCTGAACAGCATGTTTTGCTGTTATAGGATACTGATTTTCCACAACTCTAGTTGGCTATATTGAGTTGTACAGTTCTAATTGCTCCTGGGCATCAGATCTGTCAACTCATTCACACACACACAGACACACACACACACACACACACACACGTATGTATATATCAGGTGCTCCTGAGGCACCTAGCCCTGTGCTGAGTAAGGAACCTGGAAGCTGGGTCTGCGCTTGACAAGACGCACAAGAACAGATCACTGAGTTACCATTTGTTAAGGACGTTGGCTTGGGTTGGGAAGCTTTGCCTCTGACTAGGTCTGTGACCATGGGCAAGTGACCTAACTACTCTGAGCCTTTATTTAACATCCCAAGGGATGCTAATGATGATACAGTAGTGTTTACCTAAAGGCAGGCCATAAAGATTAAATGAGATAATTCATGTAGAGGGCTGAGCAGTGTTAGCTATGTTACTTATAGTGATAAGAAATATAACAAGTGTCCCCTAATTTTAACACTTGGGGAAAATCTGATTTTCTCTGGGTCAAATTGTATCTAATTTTAGATTTCCTCTCAGTTCATAAACATACACAGTTCTGATGTCTCATCTACTCTGCATTCAAGGAATGATGCTCATTGAGAAAGGAAAGTTGTGACTCATTTACTCAGCAAATTAACCAAGTACCTGCTGGTTGCATATGTCTATGAGGAATATACAAAAACAGTTTACCTTCAGTGAACTCAGAGACCTTAAAAGGGAGGGGGATTAACATTTCATGAGTACTTAACTATGTGCCAGGCACTATGCTAGTCCCGTACTGTTTTATCTCTATTTCTTAGAACTGTCTTGTGAGGAAGATATTAGCCTCATTTTAGCAAATGAGAAAAACAAAGGCTCAGAAAGAAAATAACTTGTCTGAAATCACAGAATAAGTTGCAGAGCTGAGATTTGAACTCAGCCATCACATTCCTCTGTGCCGTGCTAGTTTTTAAGGAAAAAAGTTAAGGAACATTTTATGACAAAAGGCAACTTCTTAGATGACACTTAAAAGTTTGTGCCAGTGGTAGTACAAATCCCATTTCACTCTTTAAAAAAAATTTTTTTTTTTAATTTAAGAAACAGAGTCTCCTTCTGTCTCCTAGGTTGGAGTGCAGTGGCGTCATCATCGCTCACTGCAGCCTTGAGCTCCTGGGCTCAAGTGAGCATCCTGCCTCAGCCTCCCAAGGAGCTAGAACTACAGGCACACGCCACCATACCTGGCTAATTTTAAATTTTTTTGGTGATGGAGTCTCACTATATTGTTCAGGCTAGTTTTGAACTCTTGGCCTTAACTGATCCTCCTGCCTCGGCCTCCCAAAGTGCTAAGATTACAGGAGTGAGCCACCATTCTTGTCCTCCATTTTGTCCTTTTTTAAAAATGAAACATGGTAATTTTTCAAAAATAATTGAAGCTTAAAACCCAACAAATGAACAAAACATTCTTTGTATTTAAAAATAATGGAAGAGGCTGGGTGTGGTGGCTCATGCCTGTAATCCCAGCACTTTGGGAGGCCGAGGTGGGCGGATCACCTGAGGTCAGGAGTTCGAGACCAGCTTGACCAACATGCTGAAACTCGGCCTCTACGAAAAATACCAAAAAAATTAGTTGGGTGTGGTGGCGGGTGCCTGTAATCCTAGCTACTTGGGAGGCTGAGATGGGAGGATCGCTTGAACCCAGGAGGCAGAGGTTGCGGTGAGCCGAGATCGCGCCGTTGCACTTCAGTTGGGCGACAGAGCGAGCCTCCGTCTCAAATTAAAAAAAAAAAAAAAAAGTAGTGGACGAAAATGTGAAAAAGTAGGAACAGCTGGCTCTAGAATCCCCACTCAGATATGTGTTATCTCTGGGCTTGGTGGCTGATTGCCTGTAATCTCAGCAATTTGGGAGGCCAAGGCTGAGGCAGGTGGATTGCTTGAGCCCAGGAGTTCAAGACCAGCCTGGGCAGCATGGCGAAACCCCATCTCTACAAACAAACAAACAAAAAACTAGCTGGATGTGGTGGCGCACAGCTGTAATCCCAGCTACTCAGGAGGCTGATGCAGGAGAATTGCTTGAACCCGGTAGGTGGAGGTTGCAGTGAGCCGAGATCACGCCATTGCACTCCATCCTGGGCAACAAGAGTGAAACTGTCTCAAAAAAAAAAAAAAGCCATATATCATCTTTTGGAAAACATACATGTCATTGTCAAGGACTTAGGGAAACAAATGTCTTATGTATTTCTCATAGGAATATAAATTGGCACATCTTCCCTGGGGGTATTCAGCACTGTCTCAAAGTTACAAATATAAATACTTTGACCCTGCAGTTCTACTTCTAGGGTTTATACTAATAATATAGTCAAGCAGTCTTGAAGGTAGAAAACAGGGCTGTTGGGTTCCAGGGATAGGGAGAGACTTTTCAGCCTATATCCTTTTGTTGTACCTATTGAATTTTGAGCCATGTAAACGTGTTACTTATTAAAAAAATAAATTCATAAAATTAAAATTGTTAAAATTTCTGAGATGATTATTATTCTAAGGACCATTCACACCTCAGTTGTGAATGTACTTAATTCAGATTGGTTTCCTTTTTGTTCTCTACTGAGATCTGAAGGTATTGGACCTTTCACATCTTTTATTTTGTAATTTGAGATGGGAGCTCTCTGTGTTGACCAGGCTGGTCTCGAACTCCTGGCCTCAACCAATCCTCCCATCTTGGCCTCCCAAAGTGCTAGGATTACAGATGTGAGCCACCATGCTTGGCCTATTTTCTCCTGAGTATTAACAGAGTACTCACTATGGAAAAGGTGGCAAGTACATGTAAGTATTTTTTAAAGCTTAAGAAATTTGTCCATAAGTCCACTGTCCGGAGACTACTACAGTTAATATTTTTGACCTCTTTTTTTGGTATCTTTTTAACCTGCTGATAACAAATAAATTCAATTTTTTTTTTTTTTGAGACAGAATCTCGCTCTGTCGCCCAGGCTGGAGTGCAGTGGGCTCGCTGCAGCCTCTCCCTCCCAGGTTCAAGCAATTCTCCTGTGTCAGACTCCCAGCTGCTCCAAATCCTGGGCTCAAGCAATCTTCCTGCCTCAGCCTCCCAAAGTGCTAGGAATGCAGGTATGACCCACCGCACCTGGCCACATATATATTCAACTTTGTATACAATTTTACATCCTGCTTTTTTCTTTTTCTTTTTTTTTTTTTTTTAGACAGAGTCTTGCTCTGTCACCCAGGCTGGAGTGTAGTGGTGCGATCTCAGCTCACTGTAAGCTCCGCCTCCCAGGTTCACACCATTCTCCTGCCTCAGCCTCCCGAGTTGCTGGGACTACAGGTGCCCGCCACCATGCCCGGCTAATTTTTTGTATTTTTAGTAGAGACGGGGTTTCACCGTGTTAGCCAGGATGGTCTCGATCTCCTGACCTCGTGATCCGCCTGCCTCAGCCTCCCAAACTGCTGAGATTGCAGGCGTGAGCCACCGTGTCCAGCCCATCCTGTTTTTTTCACTTAACATTATGTCATGTAATTGAAATTCCTACGTAAGCAAAATCTCTGTGGAAGCATTATTTTTAGTGGCTGTGTAATCTATTATGTGGACGTACCAGTTTATTTAACCAGGTAATGGGAGCTAGTTGGGGAGAAAAAGAGACGTTAAAATCATGGAGCCCTTTGGAAGGTTAGGCAGATCTGGGTTAGGTACCCTATAGGGTATGTGAGCCAGGCAGGCCAGGGCTGAAGGGCACTGAGAGTCAAAGGCTTTTCTTCTTCCCTTAGTCCCAGCCCTTGCTGCCTTACCATGAATTATGCACTTGTTCCTTGTACTGTGTCTACATCCTCCCCAGCATTCCCTGTCTTCAGGTACTATGTACACACTTCTGTCAGTTCCCAGTACACTGGGTTGCCTTGTTGGTTCACTTGTCTGTGTCTCCCTTTAGACTGAAAAAAAAGTTTTATTTCTGTATCTTGAATGCCTGGCAAATAATAGGATCTTTAATGAATCTTTGAAGATTCATTCCTATCTACTAAGTAGATAGGAAGATTAGAGGGAACCAGAGAAAAGGACCAGTGCAGCCCCAATGAAAAGAAGCCAGTCCTTTCAGCCTTCTCTGTTCTTCTGATCCTGTATTTGAGGGCCAAATCTCCATGGGCTAGCCTAGGAACCTAAACACCACTTAGACTTTAAAATTTCAAAGCTGGTTTATGTGTTTCCAAGTTCCAATAAACTTATTCAGAGTTCTTCCCATTCCAGCCTTCTATGAGTGTGATGTAGACATTCTTGGAATGCAGGTCCCATTTCTGCCTACGTGTGGTCCAGCAGCAGTCTAATGAGCAGCGTAGACAGGCTCAGGCATGCCAGGGTTCCTGGCAGAAAGCTTCTGTGTGAATAAGCATGTGCTCACAGAAATGAGACCTCTGCTGGGATCATGCCTGTTATTTATCACCCAAATTCATAGTCTTCATATCTAAGATTAACATTTCTAGGTGTCTCACTACACCCTGGTCTAGAAATTCTTGGAGTTAAAGGGACAGAAAAGGCAGATGATGAATTCCTACAGTTCTCTAGAACTTGATAATTGAATTTAAGAATGCTACAGAGAAATTTCCTCATGAGATCAAGTTCCCTGGTGGTTCCTGCAGGGATATTCAACTCTCGTGTTCTCTTTCTTGCTCAATTCCTGTGAGGTGGGCCAGACCAAGTAGACCAAAGGCCAGCTCTGGGAAGGTAATATATTGAAGATACTGGGTCAGTCAACTTCAGCCGCCAGGCTCTGTGTTCCTACAGGATCATTAAGTATTGCAAATCCGCGTTAGTCCCAGCACCACATGTGTTGCCCTGGACATCTCAAAGTTAGGACTGTTTTTTAAAACTAGGTGTGAACTTATTTCTTAAAATGATCAGCTGTGTTCCAGTTGGACTAAATGCTGATTAATCTGAATTCAGCAGATTTGTCCCTTACCCCCCAAGTTTATCTGACCTCTCTGTAGTCCCTGTGGATTGTAGCTGGATAGGCCCTGAGGTTTCTGTCCTTCTAAAATACTGTATTTTGTTGGTATTGCTTTGTGCTATTGATAGAGCTGTACCCTCTTCTAGAGCTGGGTTTCCAAAACTCTGTTAATTAGAGAATCATCTAGGGTAGAAAGTGAGGGCTACATTAAAAGCATACAGATTCTTAGGCCTGATCTAGGTCCAGATCCTATTTAAATCTCTGAAGGGATCTGGGAACCAGATCTTTCGTGGGGTGAGAGGATGCTTTGTTTAAGAAAAACAGGCAAAAACAACAACGAAAGGAAAAACAGGTGAGTTTGATGGAGCCCCTTGTTTAGAATTCTTAAAATTAATCTATGTGCCTTCAGCTCCTGTACTAGACTCCAAGACCTCAACTTGGTCTTATTCCTCTTTGTAACTCCTCCACAGTTGGTAGCACCAGACCTCAAATGTAATTGGCATTGGAAAACTGCTGGTTGGTTGAATGAATAAGTGGATGAGTGATTAATTTACTCTGTACTCATTTCAAACAGCACAAAAGTTACAACATTGCACGATAAATTTGAGGGAAGACAAAAACCAGGTATTTAATTTTGTAAAGCAGCATGTTAATAGAAAAACATAAGAATGAAGAGAGTGCTGAATATTGTGTTAGGAAGTCTGAATTTGGCATTGCGTGGTGTCCTGGCCTTAGGCAGTCCTCTAATGTCCCTGGCCCAGTGTCCTCATCTGTAAAATGGCATGAGGATAAAATGCAGCGATAGATGTGAAATGCTTTGAAAACTAGAGAGTGGATTCTGGTCAGGAGAAAAGAATGGTCAGGGTAGGGACAGAGGCACAGAACTAGCCACAACAAGGTTGCTCTGTGGTTAGGTGAAAGTCTATAGCTTCTACAGGGACCATGAGAAATTTTAGCAGGATGGCCATATAGGTATGCTCAGGACCTGATTCTCTTTCTGCCTAGTTCCTGAGCCGATCAGGAACCTCTATGTTTTGGGCCACTGTCCCAGTCCTGGTAGACCCATATGGTTCTGTAGGTGCTCAGTAGACAATCCCCAGGGGAAGCTGCTGATTTCTGCCATGCCACCTTGGTGTACTGAGATTCCTGTGCATAGGTGTAGGAGAAGGTGAGAAGAGGTGGCTCCAGGGATGAGTATGCAGCTGTGGGGCCCAGAATATGTTACAAAGAAAAGTTGGTGACCAGCCAGCTGGGAGTTGACCAAAGTCAGTCATGCGTGCCCATCCTCACTCAGCAAATATTTGAGTGCCTGCTAGGATGAGGCTGTAGATCCTGGGTGGGGACCATGTGGTGTCTACTAAGATTTACAAGGAGAGTGATATGGCCTGCCTACAGTTGGGACATGCAGGCCTGTCTCAGTGCCTGGCCTGGCACAAGGCTGCCACTCCCTGCAAACTCTGAGCTGACCTGTTACTGTCCCTTAACCATTCCTACTCCAACACCTACCTTGATCCTGGTTGTCCCCTCATGCCTGTGTGTAGGAGTATGGGCCATGCACAGCTTTGTTGGGTCCACGAAGTGGGGTGGCAGTGGACCAGGTTACATGGTATGAAATGTGTGCCTCCCCAACAGCAACAGCCCTGTCCTGCCTTGGAGGGCCCTCCAGGTCACTGTGTTATTTCATAAGGCCACCTCAGTAGCCATGTAGGAGGCATGATACTCTCACTTTTCAGGTGAGAAAAGAGATTCAAATCATCAAGAGATCTACCGTGGCCATATGGACAGTCAGTGATGGAACCAGGACTTGAACTCAGAACTTTCAGGATTGGGGAAAACCAGAACATGGGGTGGAAACCAGAACATGGCGGGGGGGTGGGGGGTAGGAAATTTTATGTATTATTATTCTTTTGACTGATTTCAAAAGTAATACATGTAAAGGCCGGGTGCAGTGGCTCACACGTGTAATCCCAGCACTTTGGAAGGCTGAGGTGGGTGGATCACCTGAGGTCAGGAGTTCAAGAGCAGCCTGGCCAACATGGCGAAACCCTGTCTCTACTAAAAAGTACAAAAATTAGCTGGGCGTGGTGGTGGGCACCTATAAGCCCAGCTACTCAGGAAGCTGAGGCAGGGAGAATTGCTTGAACCCGGGAGGTGGAGGTTGCAGTGAGCCGAGATCACACCACTGCATTCCAGCTTGGGTGACAGACTGAGACTTGTCTCAAAAAAAAAGAAGAAAAAAAAGTAATACAGTTGAGTATGTTCTTCCACATTGTTAAAGACTTTTTTTTTTTTTTTAATACAATCAGAGTCTCGCTCTAATTGCCCAGGCTGGAGTGCAGTGGTACATTCATAGCTCTCTGCAGCCTCAAACTCCTGGGCATAAGTAATCCTCCTACCTTGGCCTCCCAAAGTACTAGGGTTACAGGCATGAGCCACCATGCCTGGCCTAAAGCCATTTTCTAATACCTATATTCATTATTGTAACATATGTAAAATACTTCACATTTTATGATTTCCTTTTTAAAAATGTTCTTGTGAAAGTAATACTTATTTGTTATAAAACATTGAAACAGGGTAAGAATATAATAATTCAATGTCTCCTAGCCCTTATAATCCCAGAAATAACTGTTGATGGTTTAATGTGTATTTTCTAGGCATTTTCTCTCTCTCTCTGTGTGTGTGTGTGTGTGTGTGTGTGTGTGTGTGTGTGTGTGTCTGCCTGTCTGTCTGTGTATGGATCCACACACATACATACTCATATACATACTTAGTTTTTACCCAAATAAGTTTATATACATACTCTTCTACAACTTAATCTTTTTAAAAAATACCTTTTATTGGGGCTAGGCATGGTGGCTCACTGGGAGGCTGAGGCAGGAGAATTGCTTGAGCCCAGGAGTTTGAGACTACCCTGGGCAACATAGACCTTGTTTCTACAAAATAATTTAAAAATTAGCTGAGCATGGTGGTGTGCACCTGTAGTCCTAGCTGCTTGGGAGGCTGAGGCAGGGGATTGCTTGAGCCCAGGAGGTTGAGCTTGCAGTGAGCTGTGATTGCACCACTGCACTCCAGCCTGGGCAACAGAGCGAGACCATCTCAAAAAAAAGAAAAAAAAAATACCTTTTATTGTAATTTTCAAACACACACACAGACTATTACAGTGAACCTCCATTCATCACCCAGCTTCAACAACCAACTTCCTTGTTCTTGTTTCATCTTTTCTCTCCATTTTTATTTTTTTCCCCTGGAGTATTTTAAAGCAAATCCCAAACATTGTATTGCTTCAAAAATATGTGTCTCTACATGCACACGTATGTTTATTGCGGGACTACTCACAATAGTAAAGACTTGGAACCAAGCCAGATGTCCAACAATGGTAGACTGGATTAAGAAAATGTGGCACATATACACCATGGAATACTATGCAGCCATAAAAAATGATGAGTTCATGTCCTTTGTAGGGACGTGGATGAAGCTGGAAACCATCATTCTCAGCAAACTATCGCAAGGACAAAAAACCAAACACCTCATGTTCTCACTCATAGGTGGGAAATGAACAACGAGAACACTTGGACACAGGAAGGGGAACATCACACACCTGGGCCTGTTGTGGGGTGGGGGGAGGGGGAAGGGATAGCATTAGGAGGTATACCTAATGTAAATGACGAGTTAATGGGTGCAGCACACCAACATAGCACATGTATACATATGTAACAAACCTGCACGTTGTGCACATGTACCCTAGAACTTAAAGTATAATAAAAATATATATATATTTAAAAAAATGTGTCTCTAGCAGATCAGGTTTTGTTTAAAAAAAAAAACACAATATCATTATTATACCCAACAAAATTAACAGTAATTCCTTTTTTTTTTTTTTTTTTTGAGACAGGGTTTCCACTCTGTCACCCAGGCTGGAGTGCAGCAGCACAATCACGGCTCACTGCAGCCTCCACCTCCCAGGCCCAAGTGATCCTCCCACCTCAGCCTCCTGACTGTCTGGGGCTACAGGTGTGTACCACCACACCCAGCTAATTTTTTATTTTTATTTATTTATTTTTTTTGAGACAGAGTCACTATGTCACTCAGGCTGGAATGCAGTGGTATAATCTTGGCTCACTGCAACTTCCGCCTCGCAAGCTTAAGCGATTCTCCTGCCTCAGCCTCTGGAGTAGCTGGGACCATAGACATGCACCACCACACCCAGCTAATTTTTGTTTTGTTTTATTTTGTTTTGGTAGAGATAGGGTTTCACCATGTTGCCCAGGCTGGTCTCCACCTCCTGAGCTCAAGCGATCCACCTACCTTGGCCTCCCAAAGTGCTGGAATTATAGACATGAGCCACCATGCCCAGCCAACAATAATTCCTTCATATCGAGTAATACCTAGGCTAAACAGTTTTTGTCAATCATGTCACAAGTGTCTTTGTACAGTTGGTTTGTTTGAATCTTGTTCCAATAAGACCCACATACTACAAGTGGTTGGAATATCTCGTATCTCAATCTATAACCCCAATCCTGTCCATGCTATTTATTTTTTGTAGAACTTTATTGTTTGTCCTGTAGAAAGTCCCACATTCTGGATTTGGCTGATGACATCTTCATGGAGTCGTTTAATACTTGCACCTATCCTCCATATTTTCTGTAAATAGGTAATTTATTTTATTTATTATTATTATTATTATTATTATTATTTTTGAGATGGAGTCTCTCTCTTGTCACCCAGGTTGGAGTGCGATGACACAATCTCAGTTCACTGCAACCTCCGCCTCCCGGGTTCAAGCGATTCTCATGCCTCAGCTTCTCAAGTAGCTGGGATTACAGGTGTGTGCCACCATGCCCAGCTAATTTTTGTGTTTTTAGTAGAGACAGGGTTTCACCATGTTGGCCAGGCTTGTCTTGAACTCCTGATCTCAGGTATCCACCTGCCTCGGCCTCCCAAAGTGCTGGGATTACAGGCGTGAGCCACCATGCCTGGCTGGTAATTCATTTTAGATGCTTGATCAGTGTCTGAGTTTTAACGCAAACATGTTTCATTGGTGGTGCTGTGTACTTCTGTTGCATCACATCAGGAGGCTGATGTGACTGATCTGACTTTATGGTTGTCTTTCCAAAATCTATATGCATAATTTTTAATTTTTTTTTTTTTAATTTTAGTATTTATTGATCATTCTTGGGTGTTTCTCGGAGAGGGGGATTTGGCAGGGTCATAGGACAATAGTGGAGGGAAGGTCAGCAGATAAACATGTGAACAAAGGTCTCTGGTTTTCCTAGGCAGAGGGCCCTGCCGCCTTCCGCAGTGTTTGTGTCCCTGGGTAGTTGAGATTAGGGAGTGGTGATGACTCTTAACGAGTATGCTGCCTTCAAGCATCTGTTTAACAAAGCACATCTTGCACCGCCCTTAATCCATTTAACCCTTAGTGGACACAGCACATGTTTCAGAGAGCAGGGGTTGGGGGTAAGGTTATAGATTAACAGCATCCCAAGGCAGAAGAATTTTTCCTAGTACAGAACAAAATGGAGTCTGCTATGTCTACTTCTTTCTACACAGACACAATAACAATCTGATCTCTCTTTCTTTTCCCCACATTTCCCCCTTTTCTATTCGACAAAACCGCTATTGTCATCATGGCCCGTTCTCAATGAGCTGTTGGGTACACCTCCCAGACGGGGTGGCGGCCGGGCAGAGGGGCTCCCACCTCCCGGACGGGGCAGCTGTCCAGGCGGGGGCTGCCCCGAGCTCCCGGACGGGGCAGCTGGCCGGGCGGGGGCTGCCCCCCCCCACCTCCCGGACGGGGCGGCTGGCCGGTCGGGGGCTGCCCCTCCCTTCCCGGACGGGGCGGCTGGCCGGGCGGGGGCTGCCCACCACCTCCTGGACGGGGCAGCTGCCGGGCAGAGACGCTCCTCACTTCCCGGACGGGGCGGCTGCCGGGCAGAGGGGCTCCTCACTTCTCAGACAGGGTGGCAGGTCAGAGACGCTCCTCACCTCCCAGACGGGTGGCGGTGGGGCAGAGACACTCCTCAGTTCCCAGACGGGGTCGCGGCCTGGCAGAGGCACTCCTCACATCTCAGACGGGGTGGCGGGGCAGAGGCGCTCCCCACATCCCAGAGGATGGGCGGCCAGGGAGAGACTCTCCTCACTTCCTAGACGGGATGACCGCCGGGGAGAGGCGCTCCTCACTTCCCAGACTGGGCGGCTGGGCAGAGGGGCTCCTCACATCCCAGACGATGGGCGGCCAGGCAGAGACGCTCCTCACTTCCTAGATGGGGTGGCGGCCGGGCAGAGGCTGCAATCTCGGCACTTTGGGAGGCCAAGGCAGGCGGCTGGGAGGTGGAGGTTGTAGCGATCCGAGATCACGCCACTGCACTCCAGCCTGGGCAACATTGAGCACTGAGTGAGCGAGACTCCGTCTGCAATCCTGGCACCTCGGGAGGCCGAGGCTGGCAGACCACTGGCGGTCAGGAGCTGGAGACCAGCCCGGCCAACACGGCAAAACCCCGTCTCCACCAAAAAATATGAAAACCAGTCAGGTGTGGCGGCGCGCGCCTGCAATCCCAGGCACTCGGCAGGCTGAGGCAGGAGAATCAGGCAGGGAGGCTGCAGTGAGCCAAGATGGCGGCAGTACTGTCCAGCCTCAGCTCGGCATCAGAGGGAGACCGTGCAAAGGGGAGACGAGGACCGTGCAAAGGGGAGAGGGAGGGGGAGGGGGAGGGAGAGCAATTTTTAATTTTTTAAGATTTTTTTTTTTTTTTAAAAAGAAACACACATAGGTTGGGTACTTAGGATTGATTGTTGAGCTGGAATAATGAGGAAAGATAGTAATGTGGCCCTCAAAAGTGGGTTTTATCCTAAGATGAAGAGAGCACATGTAATATGAAGAAGAGGAAGGTCAGAGAGAAGGTCTTGGAGCCGAGGCCAGCGCACGAAACTGGTGCCACCAGCATCCAGCTACCCTTCTGGGACATTATGTAAAATGATGTAACTGAGTGAAAAAGTGGTGAGCTGGCCTCCTCTCTCTGCTCAAGTCACTGAGCTGGTATCGTGGTGAGGGATACTCATGAGGCCAGAGCTCTGAGTCCACCGTGTGAAGGCAGGAAGCTTTCTGGGTCTGAGAAGGCTGTAACTTTTTTGGTCCTTGTCTTCTCATACTCTGGAAGCTGACATCAGGGTGACCTTCTGGTGTTCCAGTGGTAAGTCCTAAATTTGTGAAGGGGCCGCTTGTTTTGGAGGTAACAGTAGGTTAAGATGACCTGGAGAGGCACAGTCTAAGAGCTGGAGGGGGCCACCCAGGACACCAGGGAGTCCAGTGCCTCATTTTACAGATGAGAAAATTATGATCAGTAGAGGGAAAGGGAGGTTCCCAGAACCACCTAGCAAGCTAGAGGCTGAGTCCAGTATCCAGGCCTCCACTTCTCTGACTGTGGTAGCCAGCGAACATTTCCTACTTGGAATTTCTGAGGTGATGAGGGTGGCCAGATAAGGCTCCTGACAGATTGTTAATGTGCATCCAGAATTCCTGGGTATCCCTTGGTGTTGGTTTTATCCTCTTTCTTGTTCAACTCCTGGCTGGGTTCTTTGACTTGGAGGTGGTGGTCAACAGTGGTCTGTTTATACCAGCATTTAGTGGCCAGTTTAGTATGTAGTGGTACGGTGCAAACAGGGTGTCCATGAGTCCCAGTCTCAGCCCCACATTAGTCAGCTAGCCAAGGTAACTGCAGTTTCCTAAAGAAATTGGACCAGATCAAGATTGTCCAAAACATAGTATGAGTGTGCCAGGTGATGTCAGGTGGTATGAGGGTAAACTTTTCATTTGTTACTTTTATATTAACCTTTTTACTTATGGTAAGTATTACTGGTTTTCCATTTATTACAGTGACATAAACCTCTTCTTTAAATGTACTGAGGCTAAAAAGTTGATATATTTAGATAAAATAAGGTGAATAGTATTCCAATGTGGCAGAAGGAGGATTGAAAAAGATTGCAATATGGAAGACCTTGGACCAGATGATCTTTCTGGTCCTTATTAGCTTCCTATCCTTTCATAGTTACAGGAATTTCTTAATATTCTGGCGTATGGGCTGGGCACAGTGGCTCACACCTGTAATCCTAGCACTTTGGGAAACTGAGGCAGGTGGATCACCTGAGGTCAGGAGTTCAAGACCAGCCTGGCCAACATGATGAAACCCCATCTCTACTAAAAATACAAAAATTAGCCAGGTGTGGTGGCAGGCACCTGTAATCCCAGCTACTCGGGAGGCTGAGGCAGGAGAATCACTTGAACCTGGGAGGCAGAGGTTGCAGTGAGCCAAGATTGTGCCACTGCACTCCAGCCTGGGCGACAGAGTGAAACTCCATCTCTTAAAAATATATATATATGTTCTGGCATATGACAATCACAACCTTCCTGCCTCAGCAGATTCACCCATCAATATAGAGGCTGGACAGCCTGAACATTCCATTTAATGTAGCATGTATTTGTCACCTGGGTTGATTGTCATGGGGGAATCTAAAGACAAGTGAGACAAGGTCCTGGTTCCTGTGGAGAACCATCTGGAGGCTGCTCTGTATTTGGTGGAGTTTGCGTATCTGTGTGATATATTCTGGACCATATTCATGAGAAGTTTCTGGGTCACTGCCCTTTGGGTAGTGCCCTACAACTCTTGTCTTCTGTAGCGCTTTGGGAAGTCTGCTCAGGGATTCAGTCATAATCAGCTCTGGAGCCTAGAGAAGACAGGAATGTTGGCATGGAAGCTGGGGGGAGAGGGCTGCAGAAATGGACAGTCAAGAGTTCTCTGCCTTTTAGGATTTCCCTGGGGAAAGTCTTCACTCAGAGCTTCGCTGACAGCCAAGGATGGCAAGCAAGGGGCCCTCGGCCTCTGCATCTCCTGAGAACTCCAGTGCAGGGGGGCCCAGTGGGAGCAGCAATGGCGCTGGCGAGAGCGGAGGGCAGGACAGCACTTTCGAGTGCAACATCTGCTTGGACACAGCCAAGGATGCCGTCATCAGCCTGTGTGGCCACCTCTTCTGGTCAGTACCCCTACTTCCACCCCAGAGAGCACATTGCCAAGTTTGGAAAGCCTGTGGCCCTGGGTGGTTTGGAGCAGAATGCTTCCTGCTCACTTTGGGAATACACTCAGGCTCAAGGGACAAGAGACCTGAGTTCCCATCCCAGCTCTGCTACCAATGAGCTGGATGACCTTGGGCAAATCCTGTCTCCACTCTAAGCTCGTTCTCCCCATCTCTAAAGTAATAATACTTACCATTTAGTGAGCACTTACTACCTGCTACTTGCTGTGCTGAGCCTAGAGGCAGTATAGCATAATGGTTATAAGCAAGGACTGTGGAACTGGGCTTCCTCCTTTTGAAGCTTGACTCTGCCACCTTCCTGTTTGACCTTGGACAAGGTACTTACACACATTCTGCCTCATTTTACAGGGTCGTTTGCAAGCATTAAATGACTCAAAATATGTAAAAGGCTTAGAAGAGCACATAGCTTGCAGTAAATACTATGTGTTAGCTATGACTATAATTGTTACTATATTTTATGTTTATATATAGATAGATACACTCATCAAAATGAAGTGTCAAGGTCGGTGTCTGTTCCAGCCTTGACGGTTACAGGAGCCCTTTCTGGCTCTGAGAACCTAGGTGCTAGGTGAAGGTCGGATTTTGGTTTTTTGTGTGTGTGTGTGTGTTTTTTTTTGTCTTGAGATTTTGAGCTGAACCTTGAAAGGTCGATCAAAAAATGCTAGGTAAAGGCGAAGGGTGTGTGTGTCACTCCAAGGCAGGGAGTTTCTAGGGACAGGCACATGCACTGTTGGACTCATCTGAGACCCTTGAGGCTACTGTATACCTCTCACAGCACTCTGGATGAGGGTCTGGGAGTGTTAGGAAAAATAATGGTTACAGTAGTGTTGAGCCAGATTATCAAACCCAGATTCGACTAAAGGGACATAGAGGTAATGAATATTTTTGAGCAGAGAAATCGTGTGAAGAAAAGGCCGTTTAAACAATATTTAAGGGATTTTAAGTTGGCAACAGCGTAAAACATCAATTTATTGGTGAATAAATAGAATGGAGCAGAGATTTTTGTTCTTGAGGCTCTTGCCCTAATTACCATCTTGTGTAAAAGCTGTTGTGATCCACATTCTCCTAGAAATTCAGGATACTTCAGGGTATCGTAAAACCAGGACTTGAAATGATTGACAAAATTAAGAATTCAAAGACAGGATACCCCTGATTTGATTATGTGAATGTATCAAATTATCACATATAACATAAAAAATGTGTACAGCTATTATGGCTGGGCTCAGTGGCTCACACCTGTAATCCAAACACTTTGAGAGGCCATGGTGGGAGGATCACTTGAGCCCAGGAGTGCAAGATGAGTCTGGGCAACATAGTGAGGCCCCACTATGTTTAAAACTAGTCAGGCATGGTGGCGGTACCTGTAGTCCTAGCTACTCGGGAGACTGAGGTGGGAGGAAGGCTTGAGCCCAGGAATTCGAGGCTACAGTGAGCTATGATTGTATCACTGCACTCCAGTCTAGGCGACAGAGAGAGACCCTGTCTCTTAAAAATATATATATATTCTGGGCTGGGCGCGGTGGCTCACGCCTGTAATCCCAGCACTTTGGGAGGCCAAGGTGGGCGGATCACAAGGTCAGGAGATCGAGACCATCCTGGCTAACACGGTGAAACCCGTTTCTACTAAAAAAAAAAAAAAAAAAAAATTAGCCGGGTGTGGTGGAGTGCACCTGTAGTCCCAGCTGCTGGGGAGGCTGAGGCAGGAGAATGGCGTGAACCCGGGAGGCAGAGCTTGCAGCGAGCTGAGATCGCGCCACTGCACTCCAGCCTGGGTGATGGAGCAAGACTCTGTCTCAAAAAAAAAATGTGTGTGTGTGTGTGTGTGTGTGTGTGTTTGTGTTTGTGTATGTATTTATTAAATTTTATAATTATAAATTTTAAGATTATAAATTATGTATTTTATGTATATATTAACTATACATATATTTAAATGTACAGCTGTTGTATATCTTTTTTTTTTTTTTTTTTTTTTTTTTTGTGGAGACAGCCTTGCTCTCTTGCCCAGGCTGGAGTACAGTGGTGCAGTCTTGGCTCACTTGCAACCTCTGCCTCCTGGGCTCAAGTGGTTCTCCTGTCTCAGCCTCCCAAGTAGCTGGGACTGCAGGAATGCACCACCACGCCCGGCTAATTTTCTTTTTGTATTTTTAGTAGAGATGGGGCTTCGCCATGCTGGCCAAGCTGGTTTCAAACTCCTCACCTCAAGTGATCTGCCCACCCCGACCTCCCAAAGTGCTAGGATTACAGGCGTGAGCCACCATGCCTGGCCCTGTGTCAAATTTTTTTTTTTTTTTTTAGAGACGAAGTCTTGCTTTGTCACCAGGCTGGAGTGCAGTGGCACAATCTCGGCTCACTGCAATCTCTGCCTCCCAAGTTCAAGCAATTCTCCTGCCTCAGCCTCCCGGGTAGCTGGGATTACAGGTGCACCCAGCTAATTTTTGTATTTTTAGTAGAGAGAGGTTTTCACCATGTTGGCCAGGATGGTCTCGATCTTCTGACCTCGTTATCTGCCCGCCTCGGCCTCCCATAGTGCTGGGATTACTGGTGTGAGCCACCATGCCTGCTATCAATTTTTTTTTTAAAGGCAGAATGCCATTGGAAAGAACACAGACTCTAAAATGAAACAGATGCTTCCAGTCTGGATGGTGCATCCCTGAGCAAATCTGCTAGCTTCCCTGTACTTTGGTTTCCTCATCTGTAAGATGGAGATGATGGTACTGCCTCATAGGTTAATGTGACCGTCCAGTGACATTAAGAAATGAAAAGGTATTCAGCCACAGCGTGGCACACAGTACAGTCATGCAGTACATAATGACATTTTGGTCAACAATGGATTACATATCCAACAGCGGTTCCATAAGATGATGATGGACCTGAAAAGTTCCTATAATCTAGTGATTTTAAAATGTTATAGAGCAGTGCGTTACCTTTTCTGTGTTAGGTATGTTGGATTTTTTGTTTGTTTGTTTGTTGTTTTTTTGAGGAGTCTCACTCTGTTGCCCAGGCTGGAGTGCAGTGGCGTGATCTTGGCTCACTGCAACCTCTGCCTCCCAGGTTCAAACGATTCTCCTGCTTCAGCCTCCCGAGAAGCTGGGATTACACATACGTGCCACCACACCTGACTAATTTTTGTATTTTTAGTAGAGACGGGGTTTTACCATGTTGGCCAGGCTGGTCTTGAACTCCTGATCTCAGGTGATCCAACCGCCTCAGCCTTCCAAAGTGCTGGGATTACAGGCGTGAGCCACCACGCCCAGCCTGGTTTTTGGTTTTTTTTGAGATGGAGTCTCACTGCGTCACCCATGCTGGAGTGCAGTAGCACTCCAGATTGAGTAGCACGATCTCAGCTCACTGCAACCTCCACCTCCCAGGTTCAAGTGATTCTCGTGCTTCAGCCTCCTATGTAGCTGGGATTACAGGCATGTGCCACCACACATGGCTAGTTTTTGTATTTTTAATAGAGATGGGGTTTCACCATGTTGGCCAGGCTGGTCTCGAACTCCTGACCTCAAATAATCTGCCCACCTCAGCTCCCAAAGTGCTGGGATTACAGGCATGAGCCACCACACCTTGGCTCTATGTTAGGTATGTTTAAATACACAAATATTTACCACTCTGTTACAGTTACCTATGATACTCACATGCTATTCAGGTTTGTAGCTTAGGAGCAATAGGCTATACTATGTAGCCTAGGTGTGTAGTAAGCTATTTCAGCTAGGTTTGTGTAAGTACACTCTGTGATGCTCACAATGATGAAATTGCCTAATGACACATTTCTCAGAATTATCCCTGTCGTTCAGTGATACATGACTATCGTTGCTTAATAAATGGGAGGAATGGTCGTTGTTATAAAGCCTGACTTTCCCCTGAGGGTCATTCATTCACCTCCACTTCTCCCCTAGAGTCTTTAAGGGAACTTGCCAGTGGAGATCTGCCATGATTTGGGGTTATTCTCCACTCAGTTTAGAATGACATTGCAAGATTAATGTTGGAGTCAGATGTTATGGCCAGGAAGATTGTGTATTTGGTTTGTGAAGCTAAACTGTGGTTCAGGAATTGGAAAAGGAACTATCCTTTGAGTTCAAAGTGTACTCAGCTAAAGATACTTGGTATGTGAGGTACAGAAGCCATGCCTGCATTTTCCACTGTCCTGGCCTACATAGTAGGTACACAGTAGATATGTGTTAACTAAATAAACGAGAGAAAGAAATTAAAAATGTGGGCCAGACACGGTGGCTCACACCTTTAATCCCAGCACTTTGGGAGGCCAAGGTGGGCGGATCACCTGAGGTCAGGAGTTTGAGACCAGCCTGACTAACACGGTGAAACCCCGTTTCTGCTAAAAATACAAAAAATTAGCTGGGCGTGGTGGCACACACCTATAATCCCAGCTACTCAGGAGGCTGAGACAGGAGAATCGCTTGAACCTGGGAGGTGGAGGTTGCAGTGAGCTGAGTGAGCTGCACTCCAGCTTGGGCAACAAGAACAAAACTTCGTCTCAAAAAAAAAAAAAAAAAAAAGTGGAGTTGAATACTTTTCTTTCAATTCTGTAGATATCATTTTTTTTTTGTATGTGGTGTTAGATTATAGAAAGGGCAATGAACTAGAAGTCAGGAGACTTTTTTTTTTAATCCTGATGCAGTTCATTTTATGTTTCTGAGCTTTGGTTTCCTCATTTGAAAATGGAGAGAGATTGGACAGCAGCTCTCTAAGCTGAAGGTAACCCTTTCTGTCAAGTAGCATCCCCATCCTTTCTATTACTTAAAGATGCTTTTAGAGTAGACCTGAACTTTTAAGCTGCTTCCTGCTAGGAGAGTTCTCAAGGATGAGGACAGCCTGAAGATTTTGTTAAACTGGATCTGGACTACCTGAGAGTCCACACATCCCTTGTGAGCCCGAGGAGACTATGAACCCACTGAAATTGAGTGTAAAATAGTGTGTAGTACATGTGTATGTGAATGCCCCCATCAATTTTTTGCACAGGGTGTCCTTAGCTTTTATTGGATTCCTTCAGATGTTGTAACCTCTCACAGGGTGATTTGTAGAGAAGCTGGGTCTGTGTGGTCTGAGCCCTGGGGATTTCACATATACTGAGATCTCAGGGGCAGAGGCTGGGGTCTTATCTCCATTGCGTTATTTATTTTCTGTGATTTTTACCCCAGTTTTTTTTTAATTTCCGATACCAGTAATCCCTACAGAACCTCAATGGGCATGCAGTGCTCCATAGTTTACTCCTGTTTTCTCATTCTGCTACTACCACTCCACCCATCAAGTGTTTCTGCTAATGAAAACATTTTTCTTCCTTTCCCCTTTTCTCCTTCTCCTTGATGACTGGTTGCCCTGGGGACTCTGGCAGTTGGCCGTGTTTACATCAGGTAAGATGCATTTCATTTTACTTTGTCTTTCATCAGCTCTGGTTGCACAAGAGAGCCCTAGTCTCAGGAGACTGCTTTCAGAAGCTGCAATCTGCCCTGCTTGTGGGCTCATTTGCTTACTTACCCCCACAGCCTTCTTTACATACCTGTCCACTGACAGACACTTGATGAAATCGGGATGGTCCTAATTCTGCCACAGAGGGCCTTTTTGGATCTCAGTTACTCATTTATAAATTGGATTGGATTGATAGTATGTTAGTTAGGTCCTTTTTATTTTTGAGATTCTGCTTCTATTAAAACAGTGCCTCCTATCATATCAACAGTCCCCCAGCCCTTAAAGGTTATGAAAATATTAGGAAGGGGAAAATTTTTTTGGTGTCAACAAAGAGCTTTTGTGAGGAGAGAAAAGTCTATTTTCCTAGCTTTAGCACCTACTTGGTGAGACAGAGCTGGGCCTGGCATTCACAAGTGGCTGTGAATAATCACAGCCTGCTGAAAGTCTCCCTGGTCGTCAGCAGTAGAGTACCACACTCGTAGGTGGCCTGGGAATGTGGGGGAGGACAGAAGTTCCAGACTGCTAAAGCTTCAGAATCTGGATGGGAGAAAGAAGGTGGGAACAGGGCTGCACATTCTGTCCCCAGCGGGACCTGGTAGTACATATTGACTATGAGTTTATGAAGAACACATAACACATTAAGTTTTGGAGCTATGAACAGTAAGAGTAGTAAATAAAATCATTCAGTGCTGCCATCTCCTCAGCCCTGAAGTCCTAGATTCATGTTTATAGAATGTCTATAAAAACACATTTTGGCCGGGTGTGGTGGCTCACACCTATAATTCCAGCACGTAGGGAGGCCAAGGCAGGTGGATCACTTGAGGCAAGGAGTTTGAGAACAGCCTGGCCAATATGGCAAAACCCCGTCTCTACAAAAAATATAAAAATTAGCTGGGCGTGGTGGTGCACGCCTATAGTCCGAGCTACTAGGGAGGCTGAGGCACGAGAATCGCTTGAATCTGGGAGGCAGAGGTTGCAGTGAGCTGAGATTGCACCACTGCACTCCAGCCTGGGTGACATAGTGAGACTCTGTTTCGAGAAAAAAAACCAAAAAACCGAAAAAAAAATCAAAAACAAGCAAAAAACAAACAAAAACAAACCAAAAACATTTTTTATCACTTGTTTTTTTAAGAAAATTAATTTTTTTTTTTTTTTGAGACAGTCTCATTCTGTCGCCCAGGCTAGAGTGCAATGGTGAGATCTCGGCTCACTGGAACCTCCGCCTCCCGGGTTCAAGCGATTCTTGTGCCTCAGCCTCCTGGGTAGCTGGGATTACAGGTGCACACCACCACACCCGGCTAGTTTTTTTGTCTTTTTAGTAGAGACAACGGAGTTTCACCATGTTCCCCACGCTGGTCTTGAACTGCTGACCTCAGGTGATCCACCCGCCTCAGCTTCCCAAAGTGCTGGGATTACAAGCGTGAGCCACCGCGCCTGGCCTAAACAAAAAATTTTAATGTAACCAGTGAAAGGGCCTGAGAAACCCAAAACGGGATTTTTTTTATATTGAAAGAAATAGGTGAATGCAAAAAATCAATGAAAGTACACAAAAAGCATTAAGCAAATTTAGATAATGAGCAAAACCTATCCTTTAGCATGTGGTAAGTCACCAGAAAATGATCAGCTTATCTCCTGATTCTGATGCCTGGGATACACAGTTGTTGGGAAAATGCTATAAAAATGAGAAATTGGCCGGGCGCGGTGGCTCATGCCTGTGATCCCAGCACTTTGGCAGACCAAGGGAGGAAGATCACGAGGTCAGGAGTTTGAGACCAGCCTGGCCAACATGGTGAAACCCTGTCTCTACTAAAAATACAAAAATTAGCTGGGCGCAGTGGTGGGCGCCTGTAATCCCAGCTACTTGGAAGGCTGAGACAGGAGAATTGCTTGAACCCAGGAGGCAGGGGTTGCAGTGACCTGAGATCATGCCACTACACTCCAGCCTGGGTGACAGAGCAAGACTCTGTCTGGGGAAAAAAAAATGAGAAATCACAGAAAGAAGAATATGACTGACAGGAAAATACAGTTGCTCCTACTGGGAAGGTGGGGATTTAAAGTTTGCTGTACTTACACCAGCAGCCTAAATTGAGGCTGGGCATGTCAGACTTGACAGCCCCAGACTTGCAGTTTCCCTCCCCCTGTGTTGCTAGGAGGCCCTAGAGAGAAACAAAGCATGAAGAAGCCTAATTGTGATGATTTTTTTTCTTTTTTTTGAGACAGAGTCTTGCTCTGTTGCCCAGGCTGGAATGCAGTGGTGCAATCTCGGCTCACTGCAACCTCCGCCTCCCGGGTTCAAGCGATTCTCCTCCCTCAGCCTCCCGAGTAGCTGGAACTACAGGCATGCGCCACCATGTCTGGCTAATTTTTGTATTTTTAGTAGAGACGGGGTTTCACCTTGTTGGCCAGGCTTCTCTTGAACTCCTGACCTCAGGTGATCCACCCACCTCCGCCTCCCAAAGCGCTGGGATTACAGGCATGAGCACCGCACCCGGCCAATTATGATGATATTTAAAGGCAATTTTGATTTTACCACTGGTAGGTATTTGCTGAATGGTAGGAGAAGGAATGGGAGTCAGGTTCCTTGAGATGTTCCCTGCTCATGCTGGTGTTTCCCAGTTTGAGGCCTCTGGCCTGTGTTGTTCTGGTGGCTCTGGCTGATCACTCTGGTGGGTCTTGGGCCATCCACATGCATTTTTCTCTCCTGTTTGCAGTGGTTGGAGACCAGACCTAACAGACAGGTGTGTCCTGTTTGCAAAGCTGGCATCAGCCGAGACAAGGTCATCCCCCTCTATGGAAGGGGCAGCACTGGGCAACAGGACCCCAGGTGAGGACTCAGGATGCCTCTCCCAACCACTTCTCCCCTTGGATGTGAATTCACTCCCATTCAGCATCCCCTAACCCCACCCTTTACTTAGTACTAGATGATCTCTTGGTTTCGAAGCAGTCTCATCCAGATGAGAGTCAGCTAGGAGGGGAGGGAAGAGAGGGGATCCAAGTTGCCACTTGCTAGGACCCAGCAGTGAACAGACATCACAATCACAAGTGTGCAGAGCCCTGTGAAAGAGCATTTCTGCAACCTGGGAAGCAGGATATGTAGCAGGAGAGGCTCCAGGGAGCAGGGTTGCTGCATCAGTGATGTATAAAGCATGGCGGGAGGGGAAACAGGATCTGGGTGACTTTGTGGAGTTTGGGATTTCTAGAAATGGAGATGTGCATGGGTCCAGCATTCAACAAACACAAGTATTGAGAGCCCTTCATGGTCTGGCATCCCCAAGCTCTCCAGAAGAATCTCTTACCTTTATCCAGCTACCCTAGCATATGCTGTGTACCCGACATATTAGACTTTCTCTTAAAGGGACTTGCTCTTTCACATTTATCAGCCTGTGTATTTGCTCTCTCTTCTGCCTTCTTCCCTCCCCAGTCCTGCTCAAGCTACCCCTCTACCCCCACCTGCTCCTCTAACTTCTACTCATCTCTTATGAGCAGCCCTAAAGTTCCCTCTTCCTTGAAGTGGTCTGTCTTCTTCACATTAGTTGCTCTCACCCAGTTCCCACCACAGTGTCATATGACTGGCTTTATCCCCCTTGAAACCATGAACACTTCAAGGGTTGGGTCTGTCATCAGTATTACAGCATCCTGCATAATGCTTATTGTATAACTAAGCCCTCAATTGAGTATTCATGGGTTGAGTGATTTGAGGGGGTGAGACTCAAAAATAATAGCATTGGGTATTTGCCCAAGAATAGTAGGAGATAGAGCTGAAGTTAATAGGGGAAGGTCAGAGAAACCATGAACCTCAGCCCTTACTGCTGACAACCCACCCTCTGTTCCAGTATGGATTTGGGATTTCTGTTATCTGTAACAGGCCCAGGGAAGGCATCTGGCCATGATTCCTAACCGATCTGAGTCAGGATCTCTGTAAGAGGAGTAGGCTGTAGTGCAATCTGGTGAATATCTCATAACGAGTTGATTTTCTCCCTGGTTCTCTATACACGTGGGAAGAACAGTTGCAGGTAGAATGAAGAGTTCGTATTTGGAGAATTAATCTGGCATAAGTTCATGTCCTGGACAAGAAAGAGGCTATGGCCCTGACCCTGTTGGTAAAGAGCTCCAGGTCCTCACAGGGAGCAACTCAAAGCAATTTGTAATAGACTTATTTTACACCATTTCTGTTTCAGAGAGAAGACCCCTCCTCGTCCTCAAGGACAGAGGCCAGAGCCGGAGAATAGAGGGGTGAGGAACATTCTAGGAGAAGCTTCTACAAATGAGCTGATGGCTTTAGAAGTTTCCTTCTTAGCCTTACAATTTTTCTCCTTGATTATAAAAGTAAAGGAAAACTTGTAAAATACAGAAAGGAAAAGAGGGGGAAAAAAATCACTTATAACCACACCAATCCAGAGGTAACCACTGGAAACATTTTGGTTCTATTTTCTTTTCCATTTTTCTATAATTATATATACACACAAATTTTACAAATCTGTGCGTGTATTTTACAGATGTGTGTATACTTTTTACAGTTTTTGTTTTTTGTTTTTTACAATATGTGGCTCCTGTTTTGTAACCCTCTCTTAAAATTTCATTTGTTCTACAGATACTTAGTACCTTCTTTGTGTGAGTGGGAGTCTTTTAGTATTATCTTGAGATTTTACATTGCCAGCAATATTTTACTAACTAGCTGTTTAGCATTTAGTTGTGTGGATTTAACATAATTCAATCCTTTGTTAGACATTAGCGGCTTTCTTTTTCCAAGTTAAAAAAAATCCTGATGAACTTACAGATAAATTTGTGAGCATGTTCATTATTATTTTATTAGGATAAGACAGGGTCTCACTCTGTAGCCCAGGCTGGAGTGCAGTGGTGTGATCACAGTTCACTGTAGCCTCGACCTCCTGGGCTCAGTCTACCTCAGCCTCCCATGTAGCTGGGACCACAGGTGCACGGCACCATGCCCAGCTAGTTTTTTGAGTTTTTTTTTGTCTTTCTTTTTTTTGTTTTGTTTTGTTTGGGTAGAAACAAGGTCTCACTATGTTGCCCAGGCTGGTCTCTAACTCCTGGGCTCAAGCAATCCTCCCACCTCAGCCTCCCAAAGTGTTAGGATTACAGGCGTGAACCACTGTACCTGGCTTAGGATAAATTCTTAGAAGTAAGATTACTGGCTAAAAAAAAATTGCACATTTGTCTCTAGTGGTCTAGTGGCTAGGAACAAAAACATTTACATTTTTTGCATATTTACATCAAATGTTACTCTTAAAAAAATTCTGTTAAAATGTTAAAGAAATTTTAAAAGCAAAATATTTACCCACCATTGCCAAGAGCCCAGAACAAGTATATTCTCATATCCTCATGTTCTCTTCATCTGTAGGCTGTGCATATGTATTTTTATGTAGCCATCACCATTCTGTTTGCTTTAAAATTTAATTTTGGCAGGTTTTCCATGATGCTCTGAAGTGTCCTCTTTATTATTTAGGCTGCCATTTATCCTATTGAGTTTTTTATTATTTTTTATTTTTCCATGCTATTGCTGGGAACCCATTGAGTTTTGGTTCATTGTAATTTGGGTTTTCCTCATCGAAGGACCTTTTAGTTGTTTCCCCATTTTGCTGTTTAAATAATGCTACAATAACCATCTTTGCACACTTTTTTTTTTTTTTTTTTTTTTGAGATGAAGTTTCACTCTTGTTGCCCAACTGGAGTGTAGTAGTGCGATCTCGGCTCACCACAGCCTCTGCCTCCCGGGTTTAAACAATTCTTCTGCCTCAGCCTCCAGAGTAGCTGGGATTATAGGCATGGGCCACCATGCCCAGCTAATTTTTGTATTTTTAGTAGAGACGAGGTTTCTCCATGTTGGTCAGGCTGGTCTCGAACTCCCAAGCTCAGATGATCCGCCCTCCTTGGCCTCCCAAAGTGCTGGGATTACAGGCGTGAGCCACCGCGCACTGCCACTTTCTTTTTTTTTTTTTTTTTTTTTTTTTTTGAGTTTGAATAATGGCATTTTATTAGGATTTCCAGGAGTAGGATTATTGAGTCAGGGATCTTGAAAGAAATTAAGGTTCTCGGCTGGGCGTGGTGGCTCACACCTGTAATCTCAGCACTTTGGGAGGCTGAGGCGGGTGGATCACCTGAGGTCAGGAATTCGAGACCAGCCTGACCAATATGGTGAAACCCTGTCTCTGCTTTCTTAAAAACATAAAAATTAGCCGGGTGTGGTGGCATGTGCCTGTAGTCCCAGCTACTCGGGAGGCTGAAACAGGAGAATCACTTGAACTCGGGAGGCAGAGGTTGCAGTGAGCTGAGATCACACCACTGCACTCCAGCCTTGGCGACAGAGCAAGACTCTGTCTCAAAAAAAAAAAAAAAGAAAGAAAGAAATTAAGGTTCTCTTCTCCGGATTACCCTTAATAATAATACTAGCAGTGAACACTTGTTGAATGGTTACTATATGGAAATAACTATATGTTAAGAGCTTTATATGCATGATCTCATTTAAGCCTCACATCAACTCATTTAACGGAGGAGGAAACTGAGGCCCAGATAGGTAAAGTGATCTGTCCAGGGCCACACGTACAGTGCTGAAACCCAGATCTGGCTGGTATTGAAGTCTCTGCTCTTGACCACCAGGTGACACCACTTTAACATTCCTAGGTTTTGGTTTCCTACAGAGCATTAGCAACTAATGCAGGAATCAGAGGCCCCCAGAAGCCAGAGGCCCTGGCCTTGTTGACCAAAGTGCATACCTCTAGCATTTATAAGCACCTGCAGCTACTAGCGATGTTTTTTTGCATACTCTGGCCCAGGAACATAATCCCACCAAATGTATGGACTGGTGAGATCATAAAGATGTTGCTAGAAGGGAAGCAGAACGGTTAGTCCTCAGGATTGCACTGAATGAATCTGTGGTTCCTGATGAAACAATTGCACCTTCCCAAGTAAGGCAGCCTCAGTCCCAGGAGCCATTAGATTCAACCATGAACTGAGTAGGAGGCATTTTGTATTGAGGAGATGGAAACTCTTTGTTTTCCCTCCCTTTAGGTTTGCCCTCTCATTAAGTCAGCTGTTAGGCTTTATAGGTGATGCCATCTGGCAAGAAGTTTGGAACTAGATGCCAGGCTGATCAGTGTGTGATGGAGAGCAGCTATTTTTGTGACTTGCAAAAAACTCATAAATGAAGGCCATTGAGCTCTTTGTGAAGAGCATTTGACCCAATAGTCTGTCTGCTTTTTATTATTTTTAAAATCATTTGTTCTAAACCTCTCATCAGGGGTGCAGGGGAAGAGAAAAAAATATTTGAAAGATGCGCACAGTAATTAAGAGCATGAAGGCCGGGCACAGTGGCTCTGGCCTCTAATCCCAGCACTTTGGGAGGCTGAGGTGGGAGGATCACTTGAGCCCAGGAGTTTGAGACCAGCCTGAGCAACAAAGTGAGACCCTATCTGTACAAAAAATTTAAAAATTAGCAAAGCATGGAGGGGTACACCTGTGGTCCCAGCTACTCAAGAGGCTGAGATGGGAGCATTGCTTGAGCCTGGGAGGTTGAGTCTACAGTGAGCCATGATTGCACCATTGCACTCCAGGCTTGGTGACAGAGCGAGACCCTGTCTCAAAAAAAAAGAAAAGAAAAAGAAAAGCATGTGTTTTCAGATCAAATTGACCTAGTTTTAGATCTAAACTGTACTCCTTGGTCAAGTTATTTCACCTCTCCAAGCCTCAGTTTGGTCATCTGTGAAATGCAGATGAAGCCAATGTAAAAATTAAACATGATTTATATGTCCTAGTGCTTAACATGGTGCCTAGCACAGAGCTCACGCTTTAAAAAAGGGAGTTATTTATTCACAGTATTGTTCCTGCTGAATCTTTTCATGTGAAAGATGATGCAGTGTAGAACATGCACATGGAAAGAAAACTGAGGGTGATATACCAAACTGCTGATAGTGGTTATTTCAGAGGTAAAGTGGAGTGGCTGCGAAGTGGGAAGGTGAATAGAAGATCTCTGACTCTGTCAATTATTTCTGTAATATGTGAGTTTCTTATAGCAAGTATATATTACTTTTATAACCAGAAAACATTATAGTGTTTTAAAATGTAAAAATTCTATGTAACAGTATTAAAAGAAATTTTAATCCGTAACTTGTCCATATACCTACATATTGTCATGTAGTTGTGACCACAGTGTTCAAACAATTTTGTCTGATAACTTGGTCACAAGAGTTGTTCAGTGTTACCGCTTAAGTCAGGGTAATGGTTCTTTGAATGCATGTATCAAGATTTTGATCATGACTTCCATTGTTGGCTAATTAGAGTTTCAACATTTTTGCTATTAAAGATAATGTGTAGCTTGTTTGATGTTCCCTTGGGCACAGGGGTGGCTGTCAATATTGCTCCTATAAAGCATGTAGAAGGTGTTACTAGCTAATGTGGGACTATGGAAAATATCCTCAAGCCCTGTGAGTGCTGACTTATGTCAGCAGAGTGTTTCACACTGGGTCAGAGCCAGTCCTTTTTGGCCCATTCATAGATTCTTAGCTGGAAGCTAAGGCTAAAAGGGCAGAGGGCTTGCCAGAGTTCCTCTACTTCAGGGTATATATGGGAGGAAAAGCTGTCCCCCACCTTCGAAACATGTGGCACAAGGTAGGGAGAAGAGGCAGGTGCCACATGCAAGACAACGTGAGGTATGTTGAGTTTTGACAGGCACAGGAGAAACCTGCCTGATTCTCCTGCCCTTAATTGCCTTTCTTCCACACAGGGATTTCAAGGATTTGGATTTGGAGATGGTGGCTTCCAGATGTCTTTTGGAATTGGGGCATTTCCCTTTGGGATATTTGCCACAGCATTTAATATAAATGATGGGCGGCCTCCTCCAGGTAAGACCCTATTTCCTTGAGAAATTAGGAAGATATCTTAGTAATATTGCTTGAAAGCTCCTTGGAATTCAGCAGTATATAAGTTACAGATAATTGTCACTACATGGATAATCAGCCTTTTCAAAATATCTTAAGCTGTTTTTAGATCACTTACAGACATGGTAACAATGCTGAGCACTTACCAACTATTAGGCATGCATATATATAGCACTTTCCATTCCAAGCTCAGGGGATCATCACAACCACCCTATGGAACAGGTGTGTGATTAGCTGCGTTTAACAGATCAGAAAATGCTCAGTAATGTTACCAAGACATACCCCATGTCTATAAAATGGAAAACTGTAAGTGATACTCAGCTGAGGAAAAGCCTAGTTCTGCACATTTACTTCCCACTTTGACCATTTGGGGGCCTGGAAATGTGAGATGACCCATAAGGAGTGAAGGCATCTCCATTCTCTGGCATCTCTGTCTAGCTTCCTTCAGGACACAACATGAGGCTGGTCAGAAGCAGCCTCAGCCCTGTGGGAACCATGCCTAGGTCTACCAACTGCTGCTGCAGTTCTCCCTCCTACTGCTTGAAAGTGCCATCCGCATTCGGTATAGAGCCCTTGCTCTATAGGTGCAAGCCACCTCTATGAGGTGGGTGCCTTGAACTCTTATCACAGTCTGACACCCAAGCCAAGATCCTTACTGTGGAGCCTGCAGAGATGCCATGATCGGTTGAGCTCTGCCTGCACTTGTTGGAGCTTCATGTGCACTGGACACAGCATATGGTACAGAAGTGACCATTGTGTGGTTCACGCCAAGAGCTTATGCCCTAAAGATGGTAACTGGGTCATCCCAGTTATTCTCATCCCCACCCTGGTCCTTGGTACACAGCAGGTGATCTATAAGTCTTTCTTGACTGCCTGCCTGCCTGCCTGTCTGTCTTCGTGAATCCATCAGAGCATCTAGCTGAGGAATCTCAGCACCAAGATATCTTGGGAATGCCTTTTTTTTTTTTTTTTTTTTTTTGAGATGGAGTCTCGCTCTGTCCCCCAGGCTGGAGTGCAGTGGCACAATCTCGGCTCACTGCAAGTTCCACCTCCCAGGTTTACGCCATTCTCCTGCCTCAGCCTCCCGAGTAGCTGGGACTACAGGCGCCTGCCACCACGCCTGGCTAATTTTTTTGTATTTTTTTGTAGAGACAGGGTTTCACTGTGTTAGCCAGGATGGTCTCGATCTCCTGACCTCGTGATCCGCCCGCCTGGGCCTCCCAATGTGCTGGGATTACAGGCGTGAGCCACCGCGCCCGGCCCTGGGGATGCCCTTTCTTACTTTATCTGCCTTGAAGGTTTATCCTCTGTTCACATTTGTTTTTCAGAGGAAGTATACCCCAAAAGATAGGGTGTACTCTGCCCTGAAGAAAGGGCAAATTCCTGTGAAGCCAGCAAGAACCTGCCTGATAGCTTGCATCCTTCTAACCTGGTCGAAGGCTAACCTTGGATTCCCCAGCTAAGCAGAGTTCCACAGCCAGGCTAGACTCTGGATTACTTTATCCCCCTGCCACAGTCACAGTTTTCCCTTGTCATGCTTGGTACAATTTGCCCATCCTGGACACAGATTCTTTTATCCTCCTTCCCCCAAAGTCAGGACAGGGAGCTCTAAATGGTAGCTTTTCCTAAAGCAGAGAGGAGTGGAGACTTAGGTTCTCACCCCAGTTCTGCCTCTACCTTGAAAAACAAGTCATTTTGCCTGTCTGGATCCTAGTTCTCTTCTGGAAAAGGAAGGCAATCCCTGTGGGGCCCTTGAGAGGCAGTGTGTGGAGAGGCTGCAGAGCTCTGCCACTAATTTCTGAGCCTTTCAATCTTGAACAGGTCACCTCAAACCTATGTTTCAGCTGCTTCCTACTCAAAATGGAAATAATAATATCCACCAAATAATAACATGTACAAAACACTTAGCAGATAGAAGATACTTAACAAATAGTAGGCTTGCTTTCATTATTTCCTGCAAGAGTTTCCTGTTAATCACCTGGTTTATTTGCATGTGCAGGCCAAACCTTTTATGATAAATTGGACCGTGTCTTGTCCTTATTGTTATTGTTCCACATAGTTTCATTTTGCCTGATATTATTTGGGGTTTAGAAATTTTTTTTGGCTGGGCGCGATGGCTCATGCCTGTAATGCCAACGCTTTGGGAGGCTGAGGTGGGCGGATCATCTGAGGTCAGGAGTTTGAGACCAGCCTGGCTAACATGGTGAAACCCTGTTCCTACTAAAAATACAAAAAAAAAATTAGCCGGGTGTGGTGGTGCGTGCCTGTAATCCCAGCTACTCAGGAGGCTGAGGCAGCAGAATCGCTTGAACCTAGGAGGTGGAGGTTGCAGTGAGCCGAGATCGTGCCATTGCACTCCAGCCTGGGCAACAAGAGCAAAACTCCACCTCAAAAAGAAAAAAAAAAAAAAAGGCCAGGCATGGTGGCTCATGCCTGTAATCCCAGCACTTTTGGAGGCTGAGGCAGGCGGATCACAAGGTCAGGAGTTCGAGACCAGCCTGACCAACATGGTGAAACCCCGTCTCTACTAAAAATACAAAAATTAGCCAGGCTTGGTGGCGCACACCTGTAATCCCAGCTACTTAGGAGGCTGAGGCAGGAGAATCGCTTGAACCTGGGAAGCGGAGGTTGCAGTGAGCTGAGATCGTGCCACTGCACTCTAGCCTGGGCAACAGAGCGAGACTACATTTCAAAAAAAAAAAAAAGAAATCTTTTTGTGTGTAGGATTCTGATGTTGTAAAGAGATAAAGATTGATGCTGTCAACTTCTGGCCTGAGTGGGCAGTGTGCATAGCTGCAGTGTTCTAATAGCCTGTTTTCTCCTTTCTGTCTCTCCAGCTGTCCCTGGGACACCCCAGTATGTGGACGAGCAGTTCCTGTCACGCCTCTTCCTATTTGTGGCCCTGGTGATCATGTTCTGGCTCCTGATTGCCTAATGCTGGGCTCCTGCCTACATCCGTGGCAGGGCTCTGGACTGGTGACGTGCCACCCCAACTCCTGGTGTTTGGCTTCCTGGCTAATCTTGACTCCTGGAATCAGTGGGATCAGTAACACATCAAGGAGTCTTGTTTCTTCATCAGAGCTTTGGAACTCGAGACCAGTTGGCGATGACCCCTGAATATCGCCACCGCTGTAAACACTCTATAACTTCAGGCCTTGGCATTGAGTCATCTCTCATGGGTGACACCATGAAATCTTGTTTCAGCCAGTTCTGCAGGTCCTGACTCTGCAGAGGGAAGAGGCAGAAAGAGAGAAACTGTCAGAGTATAATTTCACCTGAGTTTAATATTACAGAAACAAAGGGATGCACCAAATGGTATTTCTGGAAATTTTCATGTCTTTAAATACCCCTTGGTAAGTTGCTTCTGAAGCCAGTGGGGGCTCCTCAGATAGAGAGGTTCCCCTTTCAAATCCCAGTGCCGCTCTGTTCTCTTTCCTTCCCCTCCCACTCCCCCTCTTCTTCCTCTGTAGAGATGCAAGAAATTGCTGTCCCATAAAAATCATAATTGCAGTAGCTAAAGCTGGGGTCACTTCGTGAATTCACCAGAGACTCAAAGATCTTTTATTGGCTCTGGGCTGTGCTCAGTGTCTTTGGCCTCAGAGAACAACTTGAATGACTTCCTGGTTTCCTGGCATAAATTATTCCTGGTGAGACATGTGGCTTAACTCACAGGTTTCCCATCAGCTTTCTCCCTAAAACTATGTTCATCTGCCTCTCTCTGCCAGAGAACATACAGCCGAGAATACTGCCGAAGCTGAGACTGACTACTGTGCATTAGGAAAGACCTGGAGTCAGGACTTTGGTGGGATTTGGAGCTCCGAGGCAGTAATAACTGAACAAGCAGCCCTGTCCCCTAGGCTGCAGAAGCTTGAATGCATCCTCTCCCAGAACCTGCCACAGGAAACTGGGGGCTTTGTCAGGTCAGCCCAACTGCATGCAAAAGACCACCATCCTCAGAAGCCAAGTTGTCTTTTATGAAGAGGCAAGGAAAGGGGAAACCCACATGTGACCCTGATTTTGGTATGGCTTGATAGAGTTCCCTGAAAACTCCTTGTATGTGTGCTAAAACCAGGGAAGCATGTGACTGCCAAGCAGGCAACCCCTGATGATTTGTAAAGCCAGGTGGCAGGGCCTTGGGGAGCCCCAGCACAATGATATTGTGTGGTCTTCCCTCCTGTGGAATCGAGGGGAAATTATTCTTCCCAATACCTTGATTTGATTTTCAGTTTCATAAGCTTCTTCCTCTGAATCTTATTGAGGGACTATGGTACCAAGCAGGTAGGACTGTTCACCTGGTGGAACAGTTCTTGCTCTGCCTTCTAGGCTTCATCCCAGAAATCCAGCCTCTTTCTGGAGACCCCAAAGCTGGAGGGAGATGGGCTTTCCTCTGGGCCTCTCTCCTACTTTGCCATCCACACTGCTCCTGGCTAACCCCAGCAATAACCAACAAATGGTAGGAAGCCCCATCTATTGCTTTTTCTCAATTATGACTGCATAGTTTATGGAAACAAAGATCTTGAGGAAGATGAGGGAAGCCCTCCCCTCTTCACAGTCCCCATCTCTTCTCCTTTGTACCTGTCAACACCAGAGTTCAGTGTTTAAACAGACAAAATATAAAGTATTGAGTAGGTGGTTCATATGCCGAATCCACTTGGTAGGAAGAAACCACCAGCTTTATAGTGTGCCTGATAGATTTTAAACATTCCTGGGCACCCACTCAAGAGTGCTCTTTTTATCACCTTCTGGAAATCCGCAAAGTTGCAGGGGCCTCTGGAGTGTCTCTTCTCTAGAGAGAATTGGTGGGACCCCCCTCAGTGCAGTGGCCCCAACTAGTGGAGGGAGAGAGGACTTAAGTCAGATGGACTCAACAGAAATGGGTTTCCAGAAGAATAATGAAAAGTTGTGGGTAGGAAAATGAATCATTTGGACTCTTCAATGAAATGGAGTGAGCCCAGGAGAGCTCAGCCAACAGAGGCACTCTGGGAACCTGTTAGTAAAGCCAGGCTGGCCAAATGCCATTTGATTTTGAACCTCGTAGGTCCCCACTCACCCTCTGCCAGGAGCTAAGTAAGGCAGGAGAGCTGACTTGGGACTCCTGGCTCGGCCCCAACAGGGAGCCCCCTTCCCACCATCCCTCGGCAAGCTCACCACCTCATCCTTCTGCCAAGGCAGCTTTCCTTTCTTTTGTGTGTTTTCTGTGTTCTTAGCCTCCACCCTCCTCCTGCCACCCTTGTGGACTAGGACCAGGTCCTGACCCCAGTCAGAAAATGATGATATGTACAGTGGCACACCTTAACCAGTCACTAATTTTCACTGTTGTGAAAGTGATTTGATTTAGAATTAAACAAATGGTTTTACATTACTATGAGCTTGGACTTCTTGTCTGTGTTGTGGAGGGCGAGTGGGTGGGGAGTAGTCACACTGGTATGCCCTCCTGGAGGCTCCTGTGCATCCTCCGTAATGTCACACTGAGAACGAAAGTCTTCAAAGAAGCTGGGCATGACTTATGCCTGTAGTCCTAGTTACTCTGGAGGCTGAGGCAAGAGGATTGCTTGAGCCCTGAGTTTCAAGGCTGCATTGAGCTATGATCATGCCACTGAACTCCAGCCTGGGTGACAAAGCGAGACTGTCTCTTAAAAAAAAGGAAAGAAAGTCTTTAAACGACTATTGATAATTAGAGATGATAAATGTAGGCTGGAGGCCTGGCTTCATACACAGCCTTGCCCAATATAAAACCTGTCTGACAGGCAGCCCCAGTCCTGACAAGTACATGGCATTCCTGAGCTTCGTAAGTGACAAGCTGCCACAATAGAGCTTAGCTTGTCACTTATCAGAGCCTTTAGAACAATCAGGTTACTCACTGTCAGCGTCTCTCCATCTGTTTAGTAACAGGGCAGGTGGGCTGTCAGCCAAGTCCTCTCTCTCGAGCAGAAGGTGTGTCCCTCCCTAAGGTTCCTTAGTAGCAGGGTGTAGTGTGAGATGGAAGATGTTGCTGAGGTTACAAATCTGGCCCAGCCTCAGCCTTCCCAACATGCCAGAGCTACAAGTAATTCCTCTGAAAAGAGCTTTTTTTCTTCCTCTTAGATTTTGATCTAACAGTTATCAAATTGAATAGTACCAAGATACAGTGGGGAATGCAAAGGTGAGGGAACTTCAGGAGCTCATAAGCCCAATGAGAAAAGACCAGGTTTTTTTTTTTTTTTTGAAAGATTTTAATTTTAGGCCAGGCATGGTGGCTTACACCTACAAACCCCAGCACTTTGTGAGGCTGAGGTGGGAGGATCGCTTGAGGCCAAGAGTTTGAGACCAGCCTGGGCAACACAGGGAGACTCCATCTCTACAAAAATAAAAAATATTAGCCAGGCACAGTGGTGCATGCTTGTGGTCCCAGCTACCCGGGAGGGAGGCTGAGGTGGGAAGATCACCTGAGCCTGGGAGGTCAAGGCTGCAGTGAGTTGTGATCATGCTAGTGCATTCCAGCCAGGGCAACAGACCCTTTTAGAAACAGGGTCTTACTCGGGTGCCCTGGCTAGAGTGCAGTGGTGTGATCACAGCTTACTGCAGCCTGGAACTCCCGGTCTCAGTAGGTTCTCCCACCTCAGCCTCCCAAAGTGTTGGAATTACAGGTTTAAGCCACCATGCCCGGCCTTAGGTTTTTGTTTTCGATGGGGAAAAAAAAAAAAAAACAGTAGTAGAACAGGACAATAAAGCCTCCATGTAGCCATAACCCAACTCCAGTAACTATCAACTCAGATCAGTCTTGTTGCATCTATACCTCCCGCACGCTGTTCCTCTCCCACTGTCTGAACTATTCGGAAACAAACCCCAGTCATGTCATTTATTAAGTATTTCGATATGCATCTCAAGTATTTTAAAAACAAGCAAAATATGCCGGGCACGATGGCACACACCTGTGATCCTAGCACTTTGGGAGGGTGAGGCGGGCGGATTGCCAGAGCTCAGGAGTTTGAGACCAACCTGGGCAACATAGTGAAACCCCGTCTCTACTAAAATACAAAAAATTAGCCAGGCGTAGCGGTAGGCGCCTGTAGTCTCAGCAACTCGGGAGACTGAGGCAGGAGAATCGCTTGAACCCGGGAGGCAGAGGTTGCAGTGAGCCGAGATCGCACCAGTGCACTCCAGTCGGGGCGACAGAGCAAGACTCCATCTCAAAAAAAAAAAAAAAGCAAAATACCTTTAAAAAATTTCTTAAAATCATCATATCCAATCACATTGTTCAGATTTCCCTAGTTGTCTCATAACTTGTGTAGTTTCAATTGAGATCCAAATCAGTTTCATACATTGCTATTATTTGTCTCTGAATTTTTTTTTTTTTTTTTTTTGAGACAGAGTTTCACTTGCCGCCCAGACTGGAGTGCAGTGATGCGATCCCAGCTCACTACAGCCCCCGTCTCCCGGGTTCAAGTGATTCTCATGCCTCAGCCTCCTTGGTAGCTGGGACTACAGGCGCCCGCCATCATGCCTGGCTAATTTTTTGTTTTTTTGTGTGTGTGTTTGTGTGACAGAGTCTCGCTCTGTTGCCCAGGCTGAAGTGCAGTGGCGGGATCTCGGCTAACTGCAAGCTCCACCTCCTGGGTTCACACAATTCTCCTGCCTCAGCCTCCCAAGTAGCTGAGACTACAGGTGCCCGCCACCACGCCCGGCTAATTTTTTTTGTATTTTTAGTACAGACGGGGTTTCACCATGTCAGCCAGGATGGTCTCAAGCTCCTGACCTCATGATCCACCCGCCTCAGCCTCCCAAAGTGCTAGGATTACAGGGGTGAGCCACCTTGCCTGGCCTGTCTATGAAATTTTTTCTACTCTGCAGTTTATCTGTTAAAGAAACTAGGTTATTTGTCCTGTTGCATTTCCCACAGCATCATTTTTGCTATTTGCATCATGGAAATGTTATTAAGCTCCTCTTCTCCATGTATTTCCTGTAAGTTGGTTGTTAGATCTAGAAGCTTGACCAGATTCAAGCTTATTATTTTTGTTTTGTAAGACTACGTCATAGGTGATAGTATATACTTGGTGCGTCTTACCTGGAGGCACTTAATGTCTGGTAGTCCTACTTTGTGATGTTACAGATGCCACTATATCATTTAGAGTTGAGAAACAAGACTGCACTCTGGGCAGAGTGGGGCACAAAATTACAGAGAACCTGGAGAGCTGGTTGTTGTAGGAATGGCAGGTGGCGCAAGGCAGGATGTGCTCAGGAAAAAGCAGAGTCCTGGAGTGAAGGGAATAGGGAGACAAGTCCGCAGGGTGAGATGTAGTCAGCTCATGAGGACTGGTTTGGCTTTTATTTTGTAGGCAGTGGGGTGCTGTTGAAGGGTTTTGAACAGAGAGATGACAGGTCCAGAAACATACTTTTGGAAGATTAACACAGTCAGTTTTGGGTAGGATGATTCAGGGAGGGCAGAGACTGGCTCAGTTTGAAGCAAGTGGAAGTGACACTGGGCAAGTCTGGTTGGGTACCAGTGGACCAGTACCTTCAAGAGGGCAGAACCTTGAGTTGTTTTTCAAGGTCCAGGTTTCAGGATCCTAGGCTCAGAGAGTTGACTGTGAGGCGGCTGGCAGGATCTGGCCCTAGGGACTGACCAAGCTATGGCCAGTGAAACAAACTGTGGACAGGTAACCTGGGTGCTATTGAAACTCAGTTGGTCTACTCCCTGCCCAGGCTTTCTCTACCCTCCAGAAGTCCCCCTTGAGTTCACAAGTGATTTCTGGAATGTTCTTTGGGTCCATATTAAAAATATATCTCTTGGCTATAGCATTTCTATAGAAAGCTATTCCCTTCCATTACATTTTCAACTTGTGTTTCTCAGAGTCGCCTGAACTTCCCTGGGAGGAACTTGGGGGACTTGGCTATTCCCCAGCTCCCTGCTGGTGAAGACCATGAGGCTGGAGGTAGGAGGAAGTGGAATGTGAGAGAGAATGAGGAGGGAGAAGAGATAGACCTGGGTGCCTTGGTGTGGAACGGAGGGAGAGGGAAGACACCCAGGAGGTTTTGGTTCCCAGGATGCCAGTGCTTTGTTGCCTGGGAAAATACAGTGTTACATCTTTCTGTAGGAAGGATGGGGAAAGTCCCTGTCCCCTGTTTGCTAGCCATGAGGCAGCTTGTCAGGAGAGTCTCTGGATTCCTGTCACTTTAATTCAATACACAATCTTGTGTTTACTATAATGATTTCCTCAGAAACTACAAAACTGAGTACTGAAAAGAGTTCCCAGGAATTAACGGAAATGGGACAGAGCCCTCCTCCCCAGCACTTTGTGCACACTCAGGACATCGTGAGCCACCTGCCACACCCAGAAGAGAAAAATCTGACCGGCATCCGGTTTGAATTAGAGCAGGAAGGAAGAGAATTGTGCTCGCCTTTGTCTTTGCCTTTGCCTTTGCTTACCCAACTGCTGGGACCAGAGGCAGCTGGGTTGAACTTTGTCTTTGGTCAGGGGTGGGGGTGGAGGGGACAGAATCCATTTCCCTGGGCTCCATCCTCTTTCTGGTCATTTGGACATGTTTCCTGTGATCTAAATCTGATGTAAGGAAATGACAATTGTGAAAGACCCAGCGTGAGAGAATCTGATGGGAGGGTGGGTCATCAGGGACCAGCTGGCCTGGCTGATGATGTATTAATATCTTAATCACACAGAGGACCCCAATCTCCTTCCAAACCTAATGAGCGGAAGTGGTTCTCAAAGCTACTCAGCCAGCTAGCAGCTGCCATAACCCAGTCAGCTGTCCTAACTCTTAGTCCTGTAATCCCTCCTCCTCATAGAAGATTGTAAACTGGCAGCCCACAGGGCAAATCTAGTGGCCAGGTGTGTTTCATTTGGTCTACATGGCATTTTAAGAACTTTTTGATGCTATCAACATTTTTTAAAAGTGGCAAATTTCACCTAAATATCTGGATTTTTGGCATGTTTTGAAAGGTTGGAAGACCTGGGAATGGTAGGCCCATGTTCCTGCAGGGGAGTGCTCGTCTTCCAATGCGGCGCACAAGCTCCAGCGTCCTGCGCTAAACCTAATTGGCCTGGCTGAGGATCTGCTCCTGGAATGCTGGTTGGTCGCCTCCAACTGTCTTTGACTTAGAGATTATTTACTGTCAGCTTACTCATAGTGGCGCAGAGAAGTGGTTTCTCTGAGCTAGAAGCTTCTAAGAAAAGTCCATCCTCAAAGCTGTTTGTGGGATAGACCTGGCTCCTCCATTGTAATATTCCTGATTCCAAACACTACTGGAAAGAGCTCTGAACTGGCAGTTAGCAGGCCTGGGCTCCCATCCCGGCTCTCCTCCTAATGAGCGAAGCCATTTCAATGTAGTCGAACTTAGCCTCTGATCCTTAACTTTCCCTATCTGTAAATGAGGGCGACTAGATGGGTGCGGACTGTCATCCGTGTTGAGACTTCCGGCCCCCGCAGAATCAACCTTACCGGCGGGAGCACCTCGAGGGGACGCCGCTCGCACTAGGGGGCGCCAGGGCCGCTGCAGAGCCCGAGCCAGAGCCAGGGGGCGGGGCCGCGTCTCGGGAGCGAGGCCTGAGAGCGGCGGGGCGGGGCGTCGGCGGGCAGTCCCCTGTGCCAGGTGTGGTTTGGTCCTCCCAGGGCGCCGTAGGCGGTGCATCCCGTTCGCGCCTGGGGCTGTGGTCTTCCCGCGCCTGAGGCGGCGGCGGCAGGAGCTGAGGGGAGTTGTAGGGAACTGAGGGGAGCTGCTGTGTCCCCCGCCTCCTCCTCCCCATTTCCGCGCTCCCGGGACCATGTCCGCGCTGGCGGGTAAGGAAGGGCTGCTCCGCCCTGTCCCGCTGTTATCTCCGAAGTCCGGTTCCATGGCGCCTGAGGGAAACCGGCTGTCTCTCGGGGGTTTCGGGCTGGTTGGGTCCTCGTGGGTCCGAGCTCCTCAGAAAAGCTGGGAGGCGGGGTGGGCACAGCGCTCCCCAGGCATTTGGAGGGTGGGACTCCGGGAATGGGGAGGCAGGGCATCCTGGAGACAGAGGGCTCCGAGGGGCAGGCGGGTTGGGAGGCTTCCCGCGAGTTGAGGTCCCGGGGAGGAAGAGATTCTGGGTCTGCCAGGAATCCAGCTTTTTGGAGGGACCTGGCGGCCGCAGACCCCCAAATTAACCCTTTTTAAGGAAGTTGAAAAGCATGGGGTTCTCTTATAGTGGAAGCTCTGTGGAATTTGAGGAGTACAGGATCCTCTAGGGTTCAGGACAATTAGGAGAGTTACCCCGGGTTCTGGGTTTTCTGAGGGAAATGGAGGATGTGACTTCCCTGCCAAGACCCAAGGCTTCTCGCGGGCATCTTGGTGTCTGGGAGTCCCCCGGGGCTGGGAGCTCTTTGCAGAAAATAAGGGAGTATGGAGCCCCTTGAGGTTTAGGACAGGACTAAGGGTAAGGAGAGATCGGACCATTCTTTTTGGGGCCCAAAGATCTCTGCTACAGGTGGCGAAAGTAGGCCACCTGGGGTTCTGAGTCCTCCTGTGGAAGCTCCCTTGGCCTCTCTAGACTAAAGACTAGAGGGATTCGGCCAAACACCTCCTGGAAGGAAGAGTTGTCTAAGGGTGAAGGGTAGCTTCAGAGTTGGGTTAGTTGCACCTGCAGTCACCTCCCCGCCACCTCACACACCACCCTGCAGCTTCCTGCCTTCCCCATCTTTTCCCCCAGCAGTAGGAACCTTCTGTCTCCTATGTTTCCCAGCCACCTGTGTGGGTGGCCCACCTCTGGGTCCACCAGGGTCAGCGTCCAGAAGCTTTGGAGAGGCGGCAAGAGGGTATTGAGGTGGAGGGGGGCTGGCTATCTGCCCCCTGCTTCCTGGCTTTCCGTCTGTGGACAGTCACTTCCTTCATCTTGAATGCAAGGACTGGGCTACCAGTGGGTCACTTCCTCAGCAAGGGAGCATGGGATTTTCTCTTCACTGGTGATAACAGACTTCTGGAGAGAGCTAGGGGTGGAAATGCCTAAAACAAATTTTTTTAGGCTGGGCGTGGTGGCTCATGCCTGTAATCCCAGCACTTTGGGAGGGCAGGGCAGGAGGATCGCTTGAGTCCAGGAGTTTGAGACCAGCTTGGGCAATATAGCGAGACTTCATCTCTTAAAAACAAAACCTTGTCTCTTAAAAAAGATTTTTTTTAAGCTTACAGAGTCCTTCAACTCGAATGATTTCCAGTAACTTTTTTTTTTTTTTCTTAGATGGAGTCTTGCTCTGTCGCCCAGGCTGGGGTGCAGTGGCACAATCTTGGCTCATTGCAACCTCTGCCTCCCGGGTTCAAGCGATTCTCCTACCTCAGCCTCCCGAGTAGCTGGGACAACAGGGGCCCGCCACCACGCCCGGCTAATTTTTTTGGTATATTTAGTAGAGATGGGGTTTCACCATATTGGCCAGGCTGGTCTTGAACTCCTGACCTTGTGATCCGCCCGCTTCGGCCTCCCAAAGTGCTGGGATTACAGGCGTGAGCCACCGCACCCGGCCGATTTCCAGTAACTTTTTCTAACAGCTGTGTAATATAGGTTGCCTGTCTTGAACCCTGTTTCTTAGAAAATTGTGAAAGGTTTCACAGTACAATAGTCTAGAGGCATAAAGCCTCTAGATGCATTAGTTTATGCATTCTTTCTTTCATTCAAAGAATATTTGTTGGATTCTTCTGTGTCATATACTTAGCCAAATGCTGAGTACAGTGGTGACATAGTTCTTGGCTTTGTGGTGCTTAATAATCCTAGAGATGGACAATAAATAATTGTAACAATTGCAATAAATGCTATAATAGTTAAGGTAAACAATTGAGATAAGTGCTGTAAGAGTGCACCAGGGGTGAGGGTTTTCTCTACTTTTTTTTCTGTTTTGGTAGAGACAGGGTCTCACTATGTTGCCCACGGTGGTTTCAAGCCATCCTCCTGTCTCAACCTCCCAAAGTGCTGGGATTACAGGCATGAACCACCATGCCCATCCTCTACTTTTTTTTTTTTTGAAGGGAATACTTTTCTTAAAAATGCAAGTTTATGCTGACCCCTGGAGATAAGTAAAAGTTAGCCTGGCAAAAAAAGCTCACAGAGCATTCCAGGCAGAGGAAACAGCATAAAAAGGCCCTAGGGTAGGAAGGCATGTAGTGCCTTTGAGCCTTGGAGCTGGGAGGTCAATATGGTTTTTTGATTTTTTTGTAGGGGGTGGGGAGGAAGAGTCTTGCTCTGTTGCCCATGCTGGAGTACAGTGGCGCGATCCAGACTCACTGTACCCTCCACCTCCCAGGTTCAAGTGAATCTTCTGCCTCAGCTTCCTGAGTAGCTGGGACTACAGGCAAGTGCTACCACGCCCAGCTAATTTTTTGTATTTTTATTAGAGACGGGGTCTTACCATGTTGCCCAGGCTGGTCTCAAACTCCTGAGCTCAGGCAGTCCACCCGCCTTGGACTCCCAAAATGCTAGGATTATAGGCGTGAGCCACCATGCCCAGCCAAGTATGGCTTTTTTATAGATGAGGAGACAGGCCCAGAAATGACAAGGTTCCATAGCTAAATGAGCAGTGGTGGTCAGAGTTCATATTTTCCAACTTCAAGTTTAGTGCTTCCTCCTCTCTGTAGCACAAAAAGCAGAATGAAGTTGACTATGGAGTCTGAGAAGGAAGTGGGACTTAAACTTTCACTTGTTATTCCATTCAAACCATGTTCTGAGACACCTCAGATTCCTCGTGTAACCGGAGAATCGATAACAAATCAAATATTTACTGAGTGCCTGTGATGTCTGTGGCACTGGGCAGGACCAAGTTTTACCTCTTATAAATTTTAACAGGTGTTAGAGCCAGGAGAGAGTTTTGAGATAATGTATAGTCTCCTTGTTTTACCTATGAAGAAACTGAGGCTCAGGGAAAAAAAACGGAGTTGTCCAGGGTCACTCAACTAGTGGTAGAGCCAGAACCAAGGTAAGACTTCTGCAGTGTTCTTTCCAGTATTCCAGGCTGCTTAAGACGTACAGGGTCTGGCACATGGTAAGCCCTTAATAAGTATTTGTGGAAATGAGTTATATATAGTTTGTGCCTCTGAGAAACTTACTGTCTAGTTAAGGTAATTAAGGCAAAAAACAAAACTGCCATGCTGATCAGTAGTGGGATTGCGCCTGTGAAAAGCCACCGCACTCCAGCCTGGGCTACATAGCAAGATCCCCATCTCTTAAAAAAAAGAAAAAAATTGATAAGACAAGCTGTTATAAGGCTTGCGTATGATAACATTATAGAATTTCAAAGATGAGGGAGAATTCTCTTCAAACATTTATTCCACAAATATATATTGAGTTCCTGCTATGTGCTAAACTCTTTTGGCCCCTAGGGATACAGCAAGGAACAAGATAGACCAAATCCCTTCCCTCATGTAGTGTATGTTCTGGTGGGGAGAGATAGACAGCAAGTAAATGTATGAACATCATATTCAGGGATAAATCCATTGAAGAGAAGTGAAGTAGGGTAAGGGGATAGAAGAAGTGAGTTGTCAGGGAATGTGTTTGGCATGTTTAAAGAATAGCAGGGTATCCAGGGTGGCCATCAGTTTTGGTTAGGGAATACTTCTTGAAGTGGGTAAGACTTGAGAAATCTTAAATAGGCTTAAAGAAGGTGGGGAAGATGATATCTTAGTAGGGAAGAAACTTTGGGAGTAGGAGACAAAAGTAGGCAAGTTTCAGGTCTTCATAAAGGGTAGCAAATACGTGTGGTAGAGGCAAGGATTGGGAGGTGGAAGATTCATAGGAAGTGGAAGGTACAGCTGAGAATGTGGGTGCAACCGGACTAGAGGGTTTAATGCCAGGCTGAGGATTTTGGAAGTTTCTAGTCTACAGTAGGCACCGTAGGTTTAGAGAAAGGAAGACTCATGATGTGGGCACAGGGCCACCAATCTGGAGGTGGGTATAGTGGGCCCTGAGATGAGGTCTTAGTGGTAGCAATGAAGAAGGCACCAACCAATAAAAGATGCCTCCTGACATAGGCAGGCCAGGGTGACTTGGATGGTCCTGGATATGTGATGGAGCAGGGTAGGGTCCAAAATGACCACAAGATTTCAAAACTAAATAAAAATCCGTCATGATCAAGGGGCTGTATTAGGCTTTCCACATTCATGGTGGATTTTCTGCATCTTCTGGAGGCTGAGCTGATTCCCAGAACAGGGCTGCCTTCTTGTTAGTGTAACCTTGAGCGGGTCTGATAGGGCCCACCATCACACACATCTCATTTCAATGAGAGGACCTGAAACTGTAGCAGTCTCTTACAAGTCTACCTTCTTTCTCATCCTTTATCTATTTTTATATAGTAGAAAGAATTAGACTATTTTACCTATTAATTTACATTGAATAGTAACTAGAACATGAAACCAATGCCTGGTTTCATTAAAGTGTTCCTTGAACATTCTTTCTGGGATTCTTTTTTATCATGTCTTTCTGCCTGTAATTTGTTTTGTCCAGGAAAGAAAGTCTAAAATGTAGTTAAAGACAGGCTTTGAGCCAGGTGCAGTGGCTCACGCCTGTAATCCCAGCACTTTGGGAGGCTGAGGTGGGTGGATCACAAGGTCAGGAGTTCAAACCAGTCTGGCCAAGATGGTGAAACCCCATCTCTACTAAAATACAAAAATTAGCCGGGCATGGGGGCAGGTGCCTGTAATCCCAGCTACTCGGGAGGCTGAGGCAGAGAATTGCTTGAACCTGGGAGGCAGAGGTTGCAGTGAGCCGAGGTTGCACCACCGCACTCCAGCCTGGGTGACAGAGCGAGACTCCGTCTCAGAAAAAAAAAAAAAGACAGGCTTTGGAGACTAGACCTGTGGTCTAATCCCAGCTCAAACATTTATTAGCTGAGTATTTCAGTTTCCTCTTCCGTAAAATGAGAACAATAATAGTTCTTTAAGACTAGTCCTGATCTCATGGGATCTTTGTATTCAGTTAGCTCATACTTGCGTAGTGCTTAGGACATTGTCTGGCATAAAGTAGTTTTTTTCCTCTATCATTGACAACTGGCAGAGAACTGCTGTATGAGAATATATCAATTGGTTAACCAGTTCTCTGATAAAGATATTTTTATAGGCCCTCCATAGATAAGAAAATGCCTACTCATTCACAGTTGAGTGAACTTCTGGTTGGAAGTTGCAGTCTGGGTGGCCTGAAAGACATAAGAACCATCTGTCTCATTTGTCACTGCAGTGTATTTTGTTAATGTACTGAGTTTGCCTTGCCTGTAGCACCTGGTTTGTCCCTCTCTGACATGTTATTTCTGTGTATATCCATGTCCTTCACACCCCATGAGTACACACCAAGGGCCCCAGTAATTCCTGGCCTACTCTGTGCCTTGTACATGGGCACATAGAAAAAAGTTTGCTGAGTTTGTTTTGAAAACCTTCCCTTCAGATTTTAGAAGTTTCTGTATTCAGCTTAACCTTTTCCCCAGCCAACTTCCTAGATACACACGCAGGAAGGAAGAGAAGTTAGTCACAAATCGGTCCAACTAAGTGCCTGGCACCATGGGAGATATTTTCACATCTATTACATTATTTCTATTAATCCACTTGGTAATCCTGTAAAGCAGGTGGTATTATCCTCTTTTTAAAGATTAGGAGACAAGCTCAGAGAGGTCAAATAATTTGCCCAAGGACACAGAGGCAAACAGTGACAGATTCAGGTTTCAAACACACATACATTTACCCCTCACAAATTTTTCCAAATAAACCAAAGAAGGGAAGAAGAGAATAACAGCAAGAAGGAAACTTTCTGAGATACCTGTGTCTGTGCCTTAACCTGAAAAAGGAGAGGCCCTTGGTTTGGTGTCAGTCTCTCAGAGCTGGAAGAAATCACTTGATCCCTCCTTTTACAAAAGAACAATCCAAGGTTTAGAGAAGCTCGAAAGCTCTTTTAAAAATCATCTAATCTTTTTTTTTCCTGAGACACTCCTTTTGGTAAAATTTGGTAAGCTAGTGAGGAAGAAAACCCTTTGGGTTACAGGGAGAGTATCTAGAGGCATGTTAATCCTTACTGTTAGTCTTTTTGATAGTCACTTCATTAAAATGTGATCTTTTTCTCTTGGCTTTTCCCCAGCAGCTGCTGCCCTGCCCTTCTGCTTTCTGCTTTGTCCCAGAACAAGTGGGATTTATACACCTGACCCGCCAGTTCCCAAGGGGCCCAGGGGTTACCATACTTGTTTTATGCTGCACTGAATTGGCTGAGTTTTGTTCCTGGTTCTCGTTGTCTGGTGGAACGTGAGAAGCTTCAAAGATTTTTTTAAATGAAAGGATAGGATGTTGATTTAAGCTAGGCATTAGAGTCTCATGAGCTCTCAGTGCTTGAGGATTTCTCACCATTTTGAAGCCTAAAAAGGACTCATTTGCAGAAACCAAGCTCTTAGACCAAATTTAAGGTGAACATTGTGGGGACTGCATTGGCTCTGAGCTGGGATACCAGGCCAACCCTTCCACTGAATAGCTGTGTGTTCTTGAGCAAGTCTCAACTTGTCTGAGGCTGCATAGGGTATTAAAAATATGACTGGCATGGTAGTCTCTGAGCATGGGTTTGAATCCCTCCTGGACCATCTTTCAGTAGCTTTGTGGTGGTTAGGCAAGTCTATTTTCCTTCTTTTTTTTTTGGCGCCTGCCCCAGTGGATTCACATTTGTTTGAGGGCCACATTGCTAATTAAGTTGGGAGAGAGAAGCATTCATAAAGTGAATGTAAAGTGAATGTATTTTATACCAAGATTGAAAAGGTCTTAAAGGTGAGAACCCCTATAATGAGACATTTGTTGCAGTGCTCACCTTACGTTGCACAGTTGCACTTATTAAAAGCAACAAATTCCAATAATAACTGAAAACACAGTTTTCTGTTTATTAAACACCTAATAAGGGTCCTTTATTGTTTGAAGGTACTGTGAACATTTACTTAAATCAAGCTCCTTTTCTGGACTCTTCTTTTTTTTATTTTATTTTATTTTTTTGAGACAGAGTCTGGCTCTGTCGCCCAAGCTGGAGCGCAGTGGCACGATCTCGGCTCACTGCAAGCTCCACCTCCCGGGTTCATGCCATTCTCCTGCTTCAGCCTCCCGAGTAGCTGGGACTACAGGCGCCCATCACCATGCCCGGCTAATTTTTTGTATTTTTTAGTAGAGATAGGGTTTCACCGTGTTAGCCAGGATGGCCTTGATCTCTTGACCTCGTGATCCACCCGCCTCGGCCTCCCAAAGTGCTGGGATTACAGGCGTGAGCCACCACGCCCGGCTCTTTTCTGGACTCTTAACAATCAGTAGCCACTGTTGATAAGTCTGCAAATATGAGAGGTAAACACTATAGAGGGAGAGAATGAACAGCCTGGTACAATGAGATATTTTCTTAAGAAAGAACTTCCCAGGCTGACTGGACTTTGGATTGATCCTCCACTAGGCTTCACAGAAATCCCTAAGACTTTGCATTACAGTATTACATTTCTTTTACATTTCCTAGAATAAAGGTGGTAAGAGAATAGATCAATGAATTTTTAAGACTGTAAGAGAGCTAAAGAAGTCAAGAGTGTTCTCTTGAAGAGGGTCTGGGCGTAGGAGGCTGTGTGCTTTGGGTGAATATCTTTGCTCAGGTACTTCCTAACAGAAAAGCAGTGTGAATGCATAACAGGTAAACTGAGGCCAGGTTTATCCACATGAGACTACTCATAGGTAATCTGGGAGCCAGAACAGTTATTCCAGTGGAATCATCTGTGCTGACCTTTGGAACTTATCTTTGGAAATTGCTTTTATAGCTGGCAGTTGGATCCAAATTTTCAGTTGGGTTCACCACACAAAGGAATGTCTGTTTTGCACCAGGCCCAAGGTTAGGCCCTGGAGATAAGAACATAATAAAGATACAGTTCTTACACCTTAGTTCTCTGAATGGGGTGTGGGGGAGGAGAGTGGAGAGAGAGGGACTGAAGGAGAGAGAAACATATGCAGTGAACTGTAATTAAATAACAAATTATGTAAAATAGGTATAGACAAAATGAAACAAACACTGCCTGATTTTAGGGAACTTTAAAGAAAGGATAGAAATTTGATTAAGGGGCCGGGAGCAGTGGCTCACGCCTGTAATCCCAGCACTTTGGGAGGCCGAGGTGGGCAGACCACCTGAGGTTGGGAGTTTGAGACCAGCCTGACCAACATGGAGAAACTCCGTCTCTACTAAAAATACAAAATTAGCCGGGCGTCGTGGCGCATGCCCACAATCCCAGCTATACTCGGGAGGCTGAGGCAGGAGAATCACTTGAACCTGGGAGGCGGAGGTTGTGGTGAGCCGAGATTGTGCCATTGCACTCCAGCCTGGGCAACAAAAGCAAAACTCTGTTTCAAAAAAAAAAATTTTTTTTTTGATTAAGGGAAAAGATAGAGAAGCTTATACATAGAGAATAACTGGAGGTGTGAATGTCAGGATGCAAGTACATGAATAAAAGTGGCAGGAATAGAAAATAGGTCAAAATGTAACTAGAGCATTCTTTTGTAAGGAATGGTGAGAGAGAAGGGTCCTTTGGGACCACATTGTAAGGACCATTTGCTCTTTCAGTAACTGTTTATTGAAGGATTGTAGCAGACCAGGGGCCAGACATGGTTTGCTAGCCCTTTGGAGGTAGCAAAAGCCAACTTTAATGATGTGTGAGAAGTTTTTGTTCCTGCCCCAGGGCCTTTGCACATGTCCCCCCTCTCCAGTGTTAGCCTTCCTTCCCCCCTTTTTTGCCCCGTTAATTTGTATTCATCCTTTAGAGCTCAGCTTGGAAATTACTTCCTCAAGGAATACTTTGGCCGCCCGCCCTTTTCCTAGTTATGAACTTGATATCTTCGTACCACTTGCCCCAATTATAAATAAATAATAATAATAATTATTATTTTTTGAGACAGAGTCTCGCTCTGTCGCCCAAGCTGGAATGCAGTGGAATGATCTTGGCTCACTGCAACCTCCGCCTACCAGGTTCAAGCAATTCTCTTGCCTCAGCCTCCTGAGTAGCTGGGACTACAGGCGCCCACCACCATGCCTGGCTAATTTTTGTATTTGTAGTAGAGACAAGGTTTCACCATATTGGCCAGGCTGGTCTCGAACTCCTGACCTTGTGATCCACCTGCCTCAGCCTCCCAAAGTGCTGGGATTACAGGCGTGAGCCACTGCGCCCGGCCCTCAATAAATAATTATATTATTGTTTAATATTTGCTTTGTGTTTAATCTCTCTCTTGTTTGCTCCTCTTTCCCCAACACAGTGTCAGATGCATAGTTGGCATGCAATAAATATTTGCTGAAAGAATGACTGAAGCGGGTCCATTGAATTTAGCAATAAGCAGTTACTGTTACTGTTGACCTTGGTGAGACAGTTTCAGAGAAATGGTGGGGGTGGAAGCCAGATTGCAGTGCATTATGCAGAAAGTGGGAAGTGAGGAAATGAGGGCAGCGATGTGTAGACAACTTTTTTTCTTTTTTCTTTTTTTTTGAGTTGGAGTTTCACTCTTGCCCAGGCTGGAGTGCAATGGCGAGATCTCAGCTCACTGCAACCTCTGCCTCCCGGGTTCAAGCCATTCTCCTGCCTCAGCCTCCTGAGTAGCTGGGATTACAGGCATGCACCACCATGCCTGGCTAATTTTGTATTTTTGGTAGAGATGTGGTTTCTCCATGTTGGTCATGGCTGGTCTCAAATTCCCGACCTCAGGTGATCCACCCGCCTCAGCCTCCCAAAGTACTGGGATTACAGGCATGAGCCACCGTGCCCAGCCTCTTTTTTTTTTTTTTTTTTTTTTTTTTTGAGACAGAGTCTCGCTCTGTTGCCCAGGCGTGAGTGCAGTGGCGAGATTACTGCAACCTCCACCTCCTGGGTTCAAGCGATTCTCCTGCCTCAGCTTCCTGAGTAGCTGGGACTACAGGCGTGCACCACCATGCCCAGCCAATTTTTGTAGTTTTAGTAGAGGTGGGGTTTTACCATGTTGGCCAGGCTGGTCTCAAACTCCTGACCTCAAGTGATCCACCCACCTTGGCCTCCCAAGACAACTTTTTCATACATGTGGCTGTGAAGGGGAGAAACAAGGATGGTAGCTAGAGGAGAAAAGGATCCAGTGGTTTGGTTTTTTTTAAAATTAGATTTTAAAACTAAATTAGATTTTAAAACTTAACGAGTTTGCATGTCATCCTTGCGCAGGGGCCATGCTAACCTTCTGTGTCTCAGTCCAATTTTAATGTATGTGCTGCTGAAGCGAGAGTACCAGAGGTTTTTTTGATGGCAGTGACTTGAACTTATTTAAAAGATAAGGAGGAGCCAGTGAGGGAGAGGGGTGCTGTAAAGATAACTAAAAGTGCACTTCTTCTAAGAAGTAAGATGGAATGGGATCCAGAACAGGGGTGTCATACCGAGTAGCCCAGCCTTTGTTCCGTGGACACTGGGGAGTCTAACCCAGAGCTGAGATAGCTTGCAGTGTGGATGAGCCAGCTGAGTACAGCAGATAGGGAAAAGAAGCCAAAAATCTGAAGTAGGGCTGGGGTGAAGGACAGGGAAGGGCTAGAGAGACATTTGGAAAGTGAAACCAGGTGGATATGAGAGGAGAGAGTAGAGGGTCTTGATTTCGGGTCTTTCATGCTTAACCCAAAGCAGGTACTAAAGTATGTGTTGATTGAATGTCTTTGGGTTTCTCAAGACTGGAGAAAGCAGGGCAAGCTCTGGAGGGTATGGCAATAACAAGTTATCTTGAATATCCTCATGGTGGAAAGTCCTGATCCTGTTTGAATTTTGGAAATAGAAATCATTCAGAGCCAAGAGATTGAATTGTTGAGTAAGTGGGTGGTCAGGTTACAGACTTAATTTTGGGTTAAAAAGTAAAAACAAGAAACAAGGTGTGGCTCTAAAATAATGAGATGTGCTGGGGGTGGGGCATGGCAGCTCATAAACTGACCCTGAAAGCTCTTACATGTAAGAGTTCCAAAAATATTTCCAAAACTTGGAAGATTCATTTGGATGTTTGTGTTCATTAAAATCTCTCACTAATTCATTGTCTTGTCCACTGTCCGTAACCCAACCTGGGATTGGTTTGAGTGAGTCTCTCAGACTTTCTGCCTTGGAGTTTGTGAGAGAGATGGCATACTCTGTGACCACTGTCACCCTAAAACCAAAAAGGCCCCTCTTGACAAGGAGTCTGAGGATTTTAGACCCAGGAAGAATGAGTGATGGGCATATATATATCCTATTACTGAGGCATGAGAAGAGTGGAATGGGTGGGTTGAGGTGGTGTTTTAAGGCCTCTTGCCAGCTTGTTTAACTCTTCTCTGGGGAACGAGGGGGACAACTGTGTACATTGGCTGCTCCAGAATGATGTTGAGCAATCTTGAAGTGCCAGGAGCTGTGCTTTGTCTATTCATGGCCCCTGTGCCTGTGAAACAGGGTTCGGTGACTGTCACTGTGCCTGTGGCAGTCTGTAGTTACCCAGAGAGAACAAAGCTGCATACACAGAGCGCACAAGGGAGTCTTGTAACAACCTTGTCCTGCTTTCTAGGGCTGAGTCAGGTACCACAGCTTGATCTCAGCTGTCCTCTTTATTTCAAGAAGTTGACATCTGAGCCATACCAGGAGTATTGTATTTTGTTTGAGGCCTCTCTTTTTGGAGGAACATGGACCGACTCTGTGCTTTTGTCTATGCTGGTCTCTGAGCTCACACAACCCTTCACCCTCCTTTCTCAGCCAGTGATAGGTAAGTCTTCCCTATCTTGCAAGGCTCAGCTCAAGTGTCAGCTTCCTCTACAAAGACTTTCCTGGTTCCCCTCATTGGAGTGAACAAGAGTTGACATGGTAGAATGGAAAGAGCAGAAGCTTTAGAATGAGCCAGACCTGAGTATGAATGCTAGATCCACCACTTAGCTAGTCAACCCTGCCCCCTGCCTCAAGTTTTAATTTTCCTATCCATTAAGTGAATATAATAATACCTGTGTCACAGGATTATTTTGAGAATTAAATGAGATTAGGTCTATGAAAGCACCTAGCAGAGTTCTTGGCATATAGGAGGCATTCATTAAATATTTGTTCTTCCCCTTTTATACCCATTACTTTTCTTTTTCTGAACTAAAATAATACTTGGTTCTATCTCTGAAATAACATCCAAGTGAAAAATCAACAACATGAAAGAGCAGTTCTTTTCCAGTGGATTTGCTTCTTAAGGAGCAGAGATTATGTAATCTAACAGCCTCCAACATACAAAGAGCTTTGTATCTAGAACAGGGGTCCCCAGCCCCTGGACCGCCAACTGGTACGGGTCTGTAGCCTGTTAGGAACCAGGCTGCACAGCAGGAGGTGAGCGGCGGGCCAGTGAGCATTGCTGCCTGAGCTCTGCCTCCTGTCAGATCAGTGGTGGCATTAGATTCTCATAGGAGTGTGAACCCTATTGTGAACTGCACATGCAAGGGATCTGGGTTGCATGCTCCTTATGAGAATCTCACTAATGGCTGATGATCTGAGTTGGAACAGTTTGATACCAAAACCATCCCCCCGCCCCCCAACCCCCAGCCTAGGGTCCGTGGAAAAATTGGCCCCTGGTGCCAAAAAGGTTGAGGACTGCTGATCTAGAGGACCAATTTATTCAATGTTGGTTGAGTAAATGAGCTCTTGGATTAGGTGATGGAAAAATCTGAAAAAACAGGGCTTTTGAGGAATAGGAAAAGGCAGTAACATGTTTAACCCAGAGAGAAGTTTCTGGCTGTTGGCTGGGAATAGTCATAGGAAGGGCTGACACTGAAAAGAAGGAGATTGTGTTCGTTTCTTCTTCTCAGAGCTATAAGCAAAGGCTGAAAGTTCTAGAAAAAGGCAAGTTTTGTTTCAGTAGAAAAAAGGATAATCAGAACCATTTTTAGAAAATGGAATGAGACTACTTTTGAGGCCATGAGTTCCTTGTCCCTGGAGAGATGAGCAGAGGTTGGACAAGTGCTTACCAGAGATCTTGTGGAGGCAGAAACTGTGCATCTAGCAGAGCATTGGCCTAACCCTTTCAAATGAGATGCTGTTAACTCAGTCTTATTCTACATGGTAGGAATCCTGTCCCTTTGCCTCCTGCTACTTTGGGCCTCTCAACCTCTTGGTTTTGTGTGCAGGTGAAGATGTCTGGAGGTGTCCAGGCTGTGGGGACCACATTGCTCCAAGCCAGATATGGTACAGGACTGTCAACGAAACCTGGCACGGCTCTTGCTTCCGGTAGGTGGGCCTATCCTCCCATCTTTACCAGTGTACTATGGGCCAAGCACTATTTCATGTTCTGATGGAAAACACAGAAACAAGCTTCTGAGTTGAGAATTTCAATCTTAGGGTGGGGAAAGGAATGTACCAAGGAAGAGCTCATGACCAAACCTCAAGTGTGGCCCCCCTGAACCCAGGTTAAATTGGAAGAGCCATAAATGGGCCAGCTGGAGGCAGGGTGGGGGGATGAGAGGAGCCCTTTCCAGGGTTGTCCCATATCCCTCACTTTATGGGTGAGGAAACTGAGGCCCAGGAAGAGTGACTTTCCTGTGGCTGCACTACAGATTATGCAGGTACTTCAAGAGTTGTTTGTATTCTTATTTTATTTTATTTTATTTTATTTTATTTTATTTTATTTTATGAGAGGGATTCTTGCTGTTGCCCAGGCTGGAGTGCAGTGGTGCAATCTCGGCTCACTGCAATCTCTGCCTGCTGGGTTCAAGTGATTTTTCTGCCTTAGCTTCCTGAGTAGCTGAGATGACAGGCACCTGCCACCATGCGCAGCTAATTTTTGTATTTTAGTGGAGACGGGGGTTTCAACATGTTGGTCAGGCTGGTCTTGAACTCCTGACCTCAAATGATGCACCCACCTCGACCTCCCAAAGTGCTGGAATCACAGGCGTGAACCACTGTGCCCAGCCAAGAGTTGTTTTTAGTGTGGTTGGCAGAGCCAGCTCTTCCTCACCACAGGTTGCCTCCCTAGGTTCCTACTTTTTGTTACTAGCTTTATTATAGCTACATTATTATTATTATTGTTATTATTATTGAGACAGAGTCTCGCTCTGTCGCCCAGGCTGGTGTACAGTGATGTGATCTTGGCTCACTGCAACCTCTGCCCCCCGAGTTCAAGCAATTCTCCTGCTTCAGCCCCCCTAGTAGGTGGGACTCCAGGCACCTGCCACCACGCCCAGCTAATTTTTGTATTTTTAGTAGAGGCGGGGTTTCACCTTGTTGGCCAGGCTGGTCTCAAACTCCTGACCTCAGGTGATCCGCCTGCCTCGGCCTCCCAAAATGTTGGGATTACAGGCATGAGCCACCGCGCCCTGCCTATAGCTACATTATTTTTGTAGGCAGCTCAGTTTCTTAAAAATTATACAGACTTCAAATCAGATTTGTTCCTGCTGTCTGAGGCTCAGTTTCTTCATCTGGAAAATGGATGGTAATAATCTTGTTGAGATTGAATGAAATAATATATGCAGTGTATCCAGTACATGGTAGACACCCAGTGAATGGTTATTCCTTCCTCCCATCGGATTGGAATTCTCAAGGGTGGGAACTTGTCTTTATATTCTTCACAACGTAAAATAGTTGAAATTTGTTGGTGGAAAGAAGAGCAGTCCACTCCAGAGGCTGGATGGGCATGCCTGGCCCCCAAGGTCTGAAGTGGTAGGGCTGTGCCTATATCCTGAGAATGAGATAGACTAGGCAGGCACCTTGTGCTGTAGATTCCAGCTCCTGCACATAGCTCTTGTTGTAAAACATCCCTGTGCTTATACCAAGTAATTGAGTTGACCTTTAAACACTTGCCTCTTCCCTGGGAACCATATAGGGGATTGGCCTGGAGACGTCTGGCCTCTGGAAGAGTTGGAAAGCAACCATCATTATTATCCTTTCCTTTCAGCTATAACTCAGAGCTCTCAAGTCTTTTCTGTGGATCTTATTGCCTTGGTTCTTGCCCCTTTTACTCCCAGGGAAGTTGATTCTGTCTTTTCTGTTCCATTTAGTATGACAGGAGCAGAGAATGTCAGAGCTGTAAGGGACCTTATAGTTAAAGCCTTTGGCTGGTCCTTTCATTTTATAGCTGGGACTAATAAGTAACGTCAAAACCCAATGAGTTCACAGATTGGGTCTCGCCTTGGCATGTAACCCATATGTTCATATTCTTGCTGTTTTCCTATGTGTATGAATATTTTCTATCCAAAATAAGCAGGACAGGGTAGAGCAAGTTAATCTTTGGAATTTCTGGATTCTCTTAGAGCTAAAAAACTTCAGAACTAGAAGAAACCACCCACTATATGGTATAACCCATTCATATCACAGATGAGGCCTGAAACCAAAAAGACTTGCTCAGGCCATGGATGACAAGAGCTGGCCCTAGCACTGAACTCTTGGGTCATTTGTAGGTCTAGTCAGATGCTAGCTTGTTAGCTCTGTGCGTGCGTGTGTGTGTGTGTGTGTGTGTGTGTGTGAGATAGAGACAGAAAGATAACATATGTACACAAATACATAAAGAGGAAGTAGACACGTTAGCATGGTAGATAAGAGTACAGGCAGGCCAGGCGTGGTGGCTCACGCCTGTAATCCCAGCACTTTGGGAGGCCAAGGCAGGTGGATCACCTGAGGTCAGGAATTCGAGACCAGCCTGACCAACATGGTGAAACCCCATCTCTACTAAATACAGAAAAAAATTAGCTTGGCATGGTGGCACATGCCTGTAATCCCAGCTACTTGGGAAGCTGAAGCAGGAGAATCGCTTGAATCCGGGAAGCAGAAGTTGCAGTGAGCCGAGATTGTGCCATTACAGTCTAGCCTGGGCAACAAGAGGGAAACTCCATCGCAAAAAAACAACCACCACCAAGAGTACAGGCTATGGAATGAGACTATGGTTTTAAATCCTGGCTTTGCAATTTATTAACTAGCCTTAAGTGACTTCCCTGAGCTTCAGGCACCAATCTGTAAAATGAGGATAAGAATATTACTCATGCCACATGGTTGTTAGGGAGGATTAAATGTGATAACCTATATAAAGTGGCTAGCATAGCATCTGACATATAGAAAACTCTTAATAGGGCCGGACGTGGTGGCTTATGCCTGTAATCCTAGCACTCTGGGAGGCCGAGGCAGAAGGATCGCTTGAGCCCATGAGCCCAGGAGTTTGAGACCAGCCTGGCCAACATGGCAAAACTCCACCTCTACAAAAAATACAAAAATATTAGCCAGGCGTGATGGCACACACCTGTAGTCCCAGCTACTTGGGAAGCTGAGGAGCGATGATTACCTGAGCCCAGGGATATCAAGGCTGTAGTGAGCTGTGATCATGCCACTGTACTCCATCCAGCTGGGGGACAGAGTGAAACCCCTGTCTCAAAACAAAACAAATGAAAAAAAAAACCCTTAATAATCAGTAACTGTCACTTTATATTATGTTGTGAGTGTGTGTCTATATACACCTATATGTATACATTTCTCTTATTACACATTCATTGGTGATCTGATGTGGAGCCCCAGGGATTAAGGGCAACTTTGAACTACCCTGACACAATCAAGCCAAATATCATTCCCGTGGAGGAAGTAGAGTATCTAGGTTCTGTCTCCTAGTTGCAGCTTTACCTTGAGGACAGAGACTCTAATCCAGCTGTGCTGAAGGAGCACATCTCCTGACTTCTGAGCTTTCCCCTGGTAAATTCAAACTGGATGTCACGGCGCCCTCAGATAGAGCCTGGTAATTTGCCCTGGGGAGAGTGACTGTCTTTTGGATCTAATTTGACTTTTGCCCCAGTTGGAGGAAAATCTTCAGGGCTAGGAAGGATTGTATTTGTCTGACCCCAGAGATAACCTGGGTTTTGAGGAACATGGGGCATCAACCTGAATGGTCTTGTAAGATCTCTCCCACGCCAGCTTGCCAGTGTTTCTCTGATGAATTTAGAGTACCTGAGTAGTGCAGGCCTGCTGGGAGGAGGACTCTCCCTCTGTGCTACTCAGAGAAATTCATTCTTCAAGGCCCCCTTCCAGCCTTGCTCTTACCCAGCTGGGCTACAGTTACAATAAAGGAAATGACTTTTCTTCTCCCCTTCCCCCAGTACCTTTGTTTTCCTAGTCACAGGGTGGGGCTGGATATTGAATGGAGAAATTGCTGGGGTCCATCCTAAACTCCTCCCCTCATCTCTCCCTTACATTACCCCATTCTTCTGTCTGCAGCCACATCCATAATCCTGCCTCTGTTAGCCTTCCGACAGACCCTCAGGTGCCCAGGACAACAGGAAGCTACTTAAAGCTGGAACCTCAGACTGTGCAATGGAGGCCAGTGACAAAACTGAAAGTAGCTCTGTCAGTAATTGTGCTGGTGCGATTAGGCAGCTGGCCAGAATCTTTTGGATCTCCTGGACATATGGCTGACTAGTCCTCCCAAGCCTTCCCAACAGGCCTCTTTTTTTTCCTTTTTTTCTTTTCTTTTTTTTCTTTCTTTCTTTCTTTCTTTTTTTTTTTTTTTTTAGGCTAGTGAAGTGAAATTGTGGGAGTGGAAAAGGAACAAAGAAATCGGTAACTGGTAGTGATCAATTACTTGTAAACACTATTGTACTTGGACCAGCCCAGTAGGCCTTTTTTAAAACTCTGAGTTACCTCTCTTTCCTTTCCTTGAGCAGTGCCATTAATTCTGTATCTGGGGCAATCCTTTCTGATGTTCTCTGGACCTGGCTCTCTCTCCTTAGGAGAGGCCAGGAGAGTAGCCAGAGAGCATGTCATTTGTAGCTGAGGTTAAAGTGTGGAGCTATCAATGGTGACCTGGCCTCTTGGCATGTTAGCAAGCCAGAGGACCTTGACAACTTTTTTGATGATTGTCCGTTCACCCTGATCAAAGGTGTTTGGCTTAGGAGGAGGGAAGAAAAGCTACCCCTATTAGTCTTGATGGCCCCAGCGTGGGTCTCTATTGCTTGACCTGGTTCCTAGCAGCATTATCAGAAGGAAAATCCACCGCTCTTAAGGCTCCTGGGAACTTTCAGGACTTCCTTTCTCAGGATTGCAAACATAAGACTATTTGAGCTTTCACTTTTGAAAAGCGGTTACTAATACCTATACTCTGGGAAAGGGCTAATGCAGATAGAAGACTGTGGTCACTGCATCAGGCAACAGACCATTTCCGCTAAATTTAGTGACTCCAGGAAGGCCAGTGAAGAAATAACACACGTAGCAACCAGAGACTGTGTTGTAATATGTTGGCTGACAGCAGGGTACTTTCTGTGATGCTGAAAGCCACATTCATTTTCTCTCCCCTCATCCCCATCTAAGCAAGCCTGGTAGAATCATAATTACAGTAATAGGTACCACTTATTGAGTACTCTGTGCCAGACACCCTCCTGAGCATACGACATGCATAGCACATTTAATCCTTACAATGACTTAATAAAATGTAGTACTAGTCTTACCTACTTCGAGAATAGGGAAATGGAGGTTACTTGTTTAAAGTCACAGAGCTAATAGGTAGCATAGCTGAGATTTGAACTCAGGCATTCTTACTCCTTGCCTGCAAGAGTCTCTTGGCATTCTTGAATGCAAGCATATTTCTTAACCTCACTGAGGCTCAGTTTCCTCTTATATAATATGGGGTAAAGAGCCCTCACCCTGCCTGCCACACACTGGTAGTGTCAGATAACATTGAAGGGTGTTAGTTTAAAGGCTTCATGGACTCTATAATGTCAACAAAAGTGCTGTTAACTTTCTTCTGGGTCTCAGGCTCCTGATGTAGAGTCAGTGGAGCAACCCTGCCATCTGCTGTTATGCTGTTGATGTTGCTGCCACACTTACTAACCTAAACCTTTGATTCTGGCTGTGGCCTTCTCCAGAAGGTGTTTACTCATTTGTCCAGTTTATCTTTTAGGAAACAGCCAGCCCGTAGATCATTAAGGCTGGCTATTGGACAGGGGGCTGGGGCCTGCCTGACAGAGGAAGGAAGGGCAGACATCTGGTTCTTCCTCTGCCCCTACAAGAGACTCCAGCCTGACCACAGAGTGGTACTCCTAGGATGTAGCAGCAGCATATGAGCTTGAATGTGCCTTAATCCTGCTCTTTACTTTGAGAAGAGAGAACTAAGGACCCACAGATGTTTCACAGCTTCTATAGGAGGCAGAGGTAGAAAAATGGAGAGAGATGAGGCCAGAGATAGATAACTGATATTAATTAAACGTTGTATTAAGAACCTCACTTAGATTATCTGATTCAATCTTCATAATAACCCTGCAACCCCCACCTTTTTTTGAGACAGGGTCTTGCTCTGTTGTCCAGGCTACAGTGCACTGGTACAATCATAGTTCACTGCAGTGTCAACCTCCTGAGCTCAAGCAATCCTCCCACCTCAGCCTTGCAAGCAGCTTGGACTACAGGCGTGCCACCACACCTTGCCATTTTTTTTTATTTTAAGTAGAAACAAGGTCTTATTAATACTATGTTGCCCAGGCTGGTCTTGAACTCCAGCGATCCTCCTGCCCCAGCCTCCCAAAGTGCTTGGGATTACGGAAGTAAGCCACTGTGCCTGGCCAGTGCAACCCCCATTTTATACTAAAACAGGAAGGCCCAGAAAGGTTTGGAGTAACTTGTCCAGGGTCACACAGATGATATTTGAACTCAGGTCTCCCTGGCTCCCAAGAGAGTCTGCTTTCCACTAGGACTCCCAGGAGAAAAAAAAAAAAAAAACAGTAGACTTGGAGACAGAAAATCTGATTTGAGTCTTAGTTGAGCTAGGCTAACTGTGTAACTGTGGGCAAGTTCCTTAGCCCCTGTGAGCCTCAGTTTCTTATCTGTAAAATGTCATAAAAGAAATCCATCTCATGGAGTAGTTGTGATGATCAAGGACTCTGAAAACATTAGAATGGTTTAATGTGAAGGATTAGCAGCAGCACATGGCAACATTGTGCATCTTATATTAACTATCCAAATATATCAAGCGTCATTTGCTATATATAAAAGTCATCAAATTAGGCACTGTGGGGGATACGGAGTTGGCATACTAGCCTGGCCTCTTAATTAATTCATTAATTAGCTTATTTATTTTTGAGATAGGTCTTGCTCTATTGCCCAGGCTGGAGTGCAGTGGCATGATGATAGCTTACTATAGCCTCAATCTCCCAGGCTTAAACAATCCTCCTGAGTAGCTGGGACTACAGGCACACACTACCATGCCCAGCTAATTTTTTTTTAATTTTTTGTAGAGACAGGGTCTTGCTCTGTTGCCCAGGCTGGTCTCAAACTCCTGGGCTCGAGATCCTCCCACCTGGGCCTCACAAAGTGTTGGGATTACAGGTATGAGCCACGGCACCTGGCCTGGTCTCTTAACTGGTTCCCTAAGACAGCTGGAAATAGAGAATGTCATGGAGCATTCCTAACCATGGGCTCCAGCCTGGCTTTCATTCTGTTTCTCCCCTGAAACAACATTCCTTTAGTAATATTCCGAATAACAGCTTCATCAGTCTGTCTACCGACCACTCTTCAGGCTTCATCTTATATGACCTCCCAAACTGCACTAAGGGTTGTATTAGAGAAAAGTGGATAAAGTTCGGAGTCAGGCTGCTTGAGCTTAAATGCCAGCTTCACTTACCAGCCACCTGACCATGAGTCAGCTGCTTAACCATTCTTTGCCACAGTTTCCTTGTCTATGAAAAGGGAAATGGCTCCCACCTCAAAAAGTTGTTAACATTAAATTCAATCATGTATTCAAAGTCCTGAGCAGAATGTCTGGCCATGACTGGGACTTAACAGATGTTAGCATTTATTATTAGTATCTGTCAGTCTTGAAATGTTCTCTTCCCTTGGCTTTCATGACATTCCACACTCTCCTGGTTTTCTCTTACCTCTCTGGTAATACCTGTTTGCTTATCCTTCTTTGTCCAGCTCTGGGATGTTACCATTCCTTCAGGCGTGCTGTTTTCTCCTTAGGCAGTCTTACACACACTCATGACTTCCTTCCATTGTCCTCCACACACTGATGACCCTAAAATCAGTATCTCCAGCCTAAACCTTTCCACTGAGTTCTAGACCCATATGTTGTACTATCAACCTGGCTTGTCCATTTGAATGTCTTCCAGGCACTTCAGACTCTCTTCTCTAGACTTTGCTGGACTTTCACTCTTCCCCCTAAAACTGGCTCCTCTTCCACTGAAACATGTATGTCATTGAGAGGCACCACCATCCACCCAGTGCCTAAGCCAGAAACCTAGGAATCCTTGATACCTGTTCTCTCTCATCCTGCATATCCAAGCCTATCAGTTTTATCTCTAAATTATATTTTGGTAGGTTTACTTCTTTCCTTTTCTCCCACCACCACCCTGCTCCAAGCTACCATCATCTCACCTGGATGTCTGCAATAGCCTCATCTCCCACAGCCACTCTGCACCCCCTAATCTGTTCTCTATAGAGCAGTTGGAAGGAGTGATTTTTGTTGTTTGTTTTGTTTTGTTTTAGACAGAGTCTCACTCTGTTCCCCAGGCTGGAGTGCAGTGGCACAATTTCGGCTCACTGCAACTTCTGCCTCCCGGGTTTAAGCAATTCTCCTGCCTCAGCCTCCCAAGTAGCTGGGATTAAGGCACCGGCCCCCATACCCAGCTAATTTTTATATTTTTAGTAGAGATGGGGTTTTGCCATGTTGGCCAAGCTAGTCTCGAACTCCTGACCTCAAGTGATCCACCTGCCTCGGCCTCCCAAAGTGCTGGGATTACAGGTGTGAGCCACTGCACCTGGCTGGAAGGAGTGATCTTAAAAAAAAAAAAAACAAAAAAAAACTTGACTGTGTCACTCTGTGTTGTCTCTCCTACCTTGTATACTTCCACAACTTCCCAGTGTTCTTGGATAAAGACCAAAATCCTTAACTTGGCCAGGCGCGGTGGCTCACACCTATCATCTCAGCACTTTGGGAGGCCGAGGCAGGCAGATCATGAAGTCAAGAGATTGAGACCATCCTGGCCAACATGGTGAAACCCCATCTCTACTAAAAATACAAAAATTAGCTGGTCGTGGTGGCGTGTGCCTGTAGTCCCAGCTACTTGGGAGGCTGAGGCAGGAGAATCACTTGAACCTGGGAGGCAGAGGTTGCAGTGAGCCCAGATCACGCCACTGCACTCCAGCCTGGTGACAGAGTAAGACTCCATCTCAAAAAAAAAAAAAAAAAAAAAAATTCCTTAATTTGGCCTACAGTAGAGCCCTCCGTAATGTGGCCTCTCTCCACATCTCCACAACCTCCTGCTCCCTGCACTTCAGCCTCACCTCTCTTCTGGACAGGCCCTCCTTCTGACAAGGGCTTTGTTCATTCTGCTCCCTCTGCCTAGAATGCCCCCTTACTCTGTTCACTTAACTCCTGCTTATCGTTTAGATCTTTACCTGGATGGCTCAGAGAAATATAGAAGTAATTCCTCACCCTGAAAAATAGGTTAGGTCCCTGTTTTATGTTTTCATAGACCTTTCCTTTGAGGCTTTTTTTAAAAAAGTAGTTTTAATCTCACATTTATTCATGTGATCATCTCCTTAATGATATCTTAAGACCTCTAATAGAACAATTTGGTCATGGACTGTGGGGTTTTTGCCCCTCATTGTGTCAGCACTGAGCATATTGTTGGCATAGGAGGGATATTTGTTGAATGAATTGCTAGAGGTGGCCAAGAGATATGATGTAAGTCAGGCTTTTCCCTGCCCTTCCCCTTCCCCTTCCCCACATCCTTCCTATAGCAGCCACCGTGGCTGCAGTTACTGTAAATGGCAAGACGGAATCAGTTCCGGACATTGGGTTGTTTTAGAAAATTGCCTGCAAGTGTCAGGGTGATAAGTTAAAGCTTTGTCTTTTGCCCTCAGAGGAGCTATCCCATAGTGAGTAGAAGCCAGAGAAGCTGACCCCAGGAGTCCTTCTTTCCAGCAGCAGGTCTTGAGCTGCACTTCTCTGTAGCTACAATCCAGGCAGGAACAAGCCCTAGGTACCTCCGGAGAGGAGGGCAAGAGAGGAAGAATGAGTTCAGCTACTCTAGCCACCAAACTGATTATGAATTGCCCTGAAATCTGAAAAATTTCAATTCCAATCGTAAGTTTGTTTTGTTTCATTTTGTTTTCTTAAATTGTATATTTGAAAGATGGCATTAACTAAAGATATATATTCAATATAGAGTGGAAAAAATGGAATACTTGCATAGTATCTTTTACTTATAGGTGATTTATGATGGGGAGTGGGGTGGATAGGTTGGCAGTTCCCCCAAGAAGTTGGAAATGAAGTTTGTCCTCTGTGAGTTGAACTAATTAGATCCACAAGTAATGAAAGCAGTATTGTGTTGTAGTTAAGAGCACACTCTAGAACCAGATTGCTTAGTTTCAAATCCTGGTTCTGCCTTTTATTATCTGTGTACTTTGGGCAAGTTACTTGCCCTTTGTGTGCTTCATTTTTCTCATCTAGAAAATGGAGAGGCCAGGCGTAGTGGCTCATGCCTATAATCCCAGCACTTTGGGAGGCCGAGGTGGGCAGATCACCTGAGGTGAGAAGTTCAAGACCAGCCTGGCCAACATGGTGAAACCCTGTCTCTACAAAAATACAAAAATTAGCCAGGCATGATGGCGGGTGCCTGTAATCCCAGCTACCCAGGAGCCTGAGGCGGGAGAAACACTTGAACCTGGAAGGCAGAGGTTGTAGTGAGCCAGGATTGCACCACTGCACTCCAGCCTGGGTGACAAGAGCTAGACTCAGTCTAAAAAAAAAAAAAAAAAACAAACTGGAGATACAGGCTGGGTGCAGGGCTTACACTTATAATATCAGCACTTTGGGAGGCCTAGGCGGGAGGATTGCTTGAACTCAGGAGTTTCAAGATCAGTCTGGGTAACAGAGCAAGACCTCATCCCCACAAAAAATCAAAAATTTAGCCAGGCATGGTGGCTCATGCCTGTGGTCCCAGCTACTCAGGAGGCTGAGGCGAGAGGATTGCTTGAGCCCAGGAGGTTGAGGCTGCAGTGAACCATGACTGCACCACTACATGCCAGCCTGGATGACAGAGCAAGACCCTATCTCAAAAAAAAAAAAAAAAAGAAACGAGCCAGGCGCGTTTGCTCACGCCAGTAATCCCAGCACTTTGGGAGGCCAAGGCAGGTGGATCACTTGAGGTCAGGAGATCGAGACTAGCCTGGCCAACATGGTGAAACCCCATCTCAACTGAAAATACAAAAATTAGCCAGGCATGGTGGCATGCTCCTGTAGTCCCAGCTACTCACTTGGAGGCTGAGGCACGAGAATCGCTTGAACCCAGGAGGCGGAGGTTGCAGTGGGCCAACATCATGTCACTGCACTCCAGCCTGGGAGACAGAGCGAGACTCTGTCTCAATAAATAAATAAACATAAAATAAAATAAAATAAAATAAAATAAAATAAAAAAATATGGAGGCCAGCAGGCACGGTGGCTCACGCATGTAATCCCAGCACTTTGGGAGGCCGAGGGGGGCGGATCACAAGGTCAGGAGATCGAGACCATCCTGGCTAACACAGTGAAACCGCGTCTCTACTAAAAATACACAAAATTAGCCAGGCATGGTGGCAGGCACCTGTAGTCCCTGCTACTCAGGAGGCTGAGGCAGGAGAATGGCGTGAACCCGGGAGGCGGAGCTTGCAGTGAGCTGAGATCGCGCCACTGCAGTCCAGCCTGGGCGACAGAGCAAGACTCTGTCTCAAAAAAAAAAAAAAAAATGGAGGTTGGGCGCGGTGGCTCGCGCCTGTAATCCCAGCACTTTGGGAGGTCGAGGCGGGCGGATCACCTGAGGTCAGGAGTTCCAGACCAGCCTGGCCAACATGGTGAAACCTTGTCTCTACTAAAATTACAAAAATTAGCCAGGCACGATGGCAGGCACCTGTAATCCCAGCTACTTAGGAGACTAAGGCAGGAGAATAGCTTGAACCTGGGAGATGGAGGTTGCAGTGTGCTGAGATCGCGCCACTGCCCTCCAGTAGAGTGAGATTCCGTCTCAAAAAAAAAAAAAAAGAAGAAATGGAGATACAAACTTACTACCTACCTCCTTACAACCTACCCTCACAGTATTACTGTGAATAAAAGTGTGTGTAGCACTGGGAACACTATTCACAGAGCACTCATGAATGTTTGTTCTTTGTTATTAGTTACTAGAGAGGCAAATGTCTGCCAGGGCTGAATAATATGTGTGAATTGGTGATTGTCGCACATATCTAAAGAAGTAGTTATTTTTTTCAATTAAAACTTAGTTTAAAAACCAATATAAGGCCGAGCGCAGTGGCTCACACCTGTAATCCCAGCACTTTGGGAGGCCGAGGTGGGCAGATCATTTGAGGTCAGGAGTTCGAGACTAGCCTGGCCAACATGGTGAAACCCTGTCTCTGCTAAAAAAAAAAAAAAGTACAAAAATTAGCCAGGCATGATGGCAGGTCCCTGTAATCCCAGCTACTTGGGAGGCCGAGGCAGGAGAATTGCTTGAACCCAGGAGGTGGAGGTTGTAGTGAGCCGAGTTTGTGCCACTGCACTTCAGCCTGGGTGACAGAGGGAGACACTGTCTCAAAAAAAAAAAAAAAAAACCAAAACCAATATAATAAATAAGTGGCCAGCAATGAAACAGAAAGTGAAAAGTTAGTGAAGCAAAACTAGTACTGTATTCAGATAAAGATGCTGAATCTAGATTTGGTCACCAGAATAGGGTCCTTTGTGGCAACCTGGGCTAGTTTGGCTGACTCACCACTGCCAGGATGAAATTTCTTTCAGTGGCTACTCATTTCCCTTTATTTTAAGTCCATGCTCACAGAGCAACCTTCTGATGCCTAATTCAGCTTCCTGGGATACTTAATAACAGGAAGGGTCTGGAAGTAGTACCTGTATAGGGGATATGAGTGTTCTGATTTTAATAGTCAATTCATAAGTGTACAGAGGGTTTGATAAATGGTTAGGTCAGAACCATCACAGAATGTCTACACCTCTTTGGACATTAGGAAGGTCAAAAACCTGAAAGGCCAAAAGCTAGGCCTAGATTAGGGTCATTCACCAAGAAAACATCAGCCTTGAAGAGTTCTCTGGGTGGTCCACCAGTCAACCTTCCTTTGATCACACCTCCTTCCTCGTTGCTTCTTTAAGCATTGACCTGTAATGGGTATGGAATTTTTTGCTCACCTAACTCCTTCCTTTTACAGAGGAAGAAGTTGAAGCCCAGAGAGATTTAATGGCTTGCCTAAGATCACACGCAGATTTTCTGTTAACCAGGGTGATTTTTCAGGTGTTCCCTGCCAGACGAGGGCTTTTTTCCTTGAATTGCCTAGAGATTTCTTGAGATATCCGAAGCATTTTTCCCAGTGCAGCCTGGAGAAGGATGTCCCTGTCAACACAGCATTTGTTACTCAATGTTAGACATTCAATTTTCTAATTAGTATCATGGAGCAACAGTGGATGATTATCTATAAGGGGTTGCAATTCCATGCTTATGTGCTTACAGCCCATATAGACAAATATCAGCTGTTAAAATGACAAGGCAGTAGAGATGTGGCCCCAGGACAAAGGCATACTCTGCTGTTAGTGAACACTAGTTGGCCAGCAAATTTCACATGGGCATATACACGGCCAACTGTAGACTTTAGGCATTTATACCCATTCAGAGAGCCAAACTGGCAACTAAAGATCAGCATTCTCTTTGGCATTTCAGCTTTGCGTTCTGTTAAAAATCACTGCTTGCTTAAATACCTCTGATAGCTCTTCACTGCCTGTAGGCAACTCTTTAGCCTAGCAGACTTGGTCTTTAGTGCTCTGCCCCTACTCTCTTCCACCATTCTGGCCTCCTGTCTAATTGCTGCCCATATGTGCCATGCACTAGAGCTTACAGACCTGCTCAGCGTTATATGAGCATACCATACTCTTTATGCCTCAGTGCATTTGCACATGTTGTTCCTTCAGGCCAGAATGCCTGTTACTGCCTGGCAATCAGCCTATTAGAGTCTGCCAATACCATCCCATCTTCTGTGGAGGAGCCCCCCGCCAAATCCACCCATACCTCTCCCCACCAATCAGAGACTTCTTCTCTCTTTGTTATTCTCTTCGTTATTCTCTTCATACCTCAGTTATATCCATTTCAGTATTTGTTTACACATCTAGCATCACTCTTAGAGTGTGAAATTCTCCAAGTGTGGAGCCGTATCTAGTTTGTCTTTGTATCCCAGAGCTTAGCAAAGTGCCTAGAATGTAGTGGGTGCTCAGAGTGTTTGCTGGGTGAATGATGTATTTGTTGAACGACTCTTTGGACACTTGAATAAAGTCCATCCAGTATGCACCATTACCATCTCTTCGCTCTACAATATTCTTTTAGGCAAGAGCTTATCTTTTGAGGTGATAAGATAAGCTCAAACTTATGTAGACTAAGACCTCAGTCTGTAAATGTCATCCCTAAGTCTTAAACCATCAAAACCAGGGCCTCAAGGAATGGCATGCCTTCTGCAACTGTAGCAACCTGCTGTGCTTATTTTGCCGTGTTTTTCATTTTTCCCCCAAAAGCTAGAGTCCCTTCTCCCATGGGCAGTGCTGGAAGTGTGCTAACAAATTCTTTCTCCATACTGCTTACGATTACAAAAAAAACCCTCAGCATCTCATGCCAGACTTGAGTTAAGGTTGTTTTCTTTTGTGTGTCAGCTGTATTCTGGTCATGACTTCCTGATGATGCCCTATAGAGATTTTGCTGAGATCAGAGGGTGCTCCACTGCCATCAGTAGCACTGACTCTTGCAGAAGCACCGTTTCTGAAGTTGGCTAATGTCATCCCTCACGTTTGTTTGTTTGAAATTTGTTTTAGTTCCAGAGATAGCACTTTCATGGAATGACGCTATCTTCTAGAATCACTTTTTTTTTTTTTTTGAGTTGGAGTCTCGCTGTGTCGCCAGGCTGGAGTGCAGTGGCACAATCTCAGCTCACTGCAATCTCCACCTTCCGGGTTCAAGTGATTCCCCTGCCTCAGCCTCCCGAGGAGCTGTTACTACAGGCGCACACCCCCACTCCTGGCTAATTTTATGTGTTTTAGTAGAGACGGGGTTTCACCGTGTTGGCCAGGATGGTCTCGATCTCCTGACTTTGTGATCTGCCTGCTTCAGCCTCCCAAAGTGCTGGGATTACAGGTGTGAGTCACCGCGCCTGGCCTAGAATCACCTTTTTATACCATAACGTGAGCACCACTGCCGCGTCACCAAGGAAAGAGAGAGGCAGCTACTGTGGGGTTACAAATGGGTAAGAGTGGCACCAGGAAGGTGAAAGTCTCTACTTAGCCAAGGCTTAACAAAATGTCAATCACCAAACATTTATTTATTAAGCTACGTTCAGGATAAGAAGATGAACAAGCTATCTGTACATTCATTTTCTCGTTTGTAACAAGGTAATGATAGTGATCTATCCTGCCTGCCTCTGAGGGTTATTGTGAGAATAAAATGAAATCAAGTGGAAAAGCACTTAGGAAAAAGAAAAGCATTGGTTTTCAATTGTTAGTGTGGATCAGAAACACTGGGGCTTGTTTAAAATGCAGATTCTTAGCCCCAGTCTCAGCGATTCTGATTCTGTATATCTGAAGTGGGACTCAGGAATCTTGATTTTCAACAAGCTGACCAGAGGGTCCAATGCTGCTATTCCTTTAGTTACACTTTCAGAAATATTACTGTAAATCAAATGGCAAGAATAAAATAGTTATTTGAGGCAGTTTTAGTATGTTGGACCTGGAGTCCAAAGACTTGGGTCAAACTCCAGCTTTGTCAGTTCCTAGACCTGTGACCTTAAACAGCAACCTTCTCTGTGAACCTTAGTTCCCTCAGGAACGGCTCTGGTCACCTCCTGCTGTACTCCATTGATGACTCACCACATAAGGCTCCCTGGGAGTCCCCCAAACCTTTGCTCTCTTAACTCCTTTTACAGCCTCCTACATCTCCTGCAGGTGCTGTCTTCTCCTCCTTTTTCCAGGCCCTGCTCTGACACAGCATTCATTCTCCTCTGGGAAGGGTTCCTTCAATGTGTCTCCAAGCACATCACACCCAGGAAGGACCCTGTGGCCATATCTGTCTATCACCAGATCAAACTACGTGAAGGCAGGCACTAGGTACTGTCAGTGCCCAGCATAGGCCTGGCCCATACCAGGTGTCCACAGATGCCTAGTAAAGAAACCTATGATTCAGGACCCCCATGATGAGCAACTATAGCACTAGAACAGTGATAATAACTAATGTTTATAATGCATCTTCAGTTTACAGAGGGCTTTTGTACTCATCATCTAGTTTAGTTCCTGCAACAACCTCTTGAGGAATATAGCACAAGCAGGACAAGGGAAGCCCAGAGATGTTAAATAATTTATCCAAGTTTATGCTGCTGGGAAGGGCAGCACTGAAATTAAAAGAAAAGTTTTCTGAGCTCAAATCCCATGCCCTTTCCTCAATGTGAGCTCTAGCAAGGTATTCAGGAATCCTGCCTCTACAGTTTAGAGCCTCAAATTGCTGGGTATGTTGAGTTCTTGTATCTGATTTTTCTAGATTTCCTGCCCACATTCTTACTGTCTGGATATCAGGAAAGAGTTTATCAAATGCCTGTGGAAATCCAAGATAAGGTCTCATGATGAGTAACCCAGTGAAAACATGAAGTCAAGTCTAACTAGTCACTACTATTTCACTACTGCTGACTCCTGATGATCAGCTCCTTTTCTAAGTGCTTACTGTCCACTTATTCCATCATCTGCCTAGAATTTATGTGAAGGAATCAAAGCAAAAGGATCATAAGGCTTCCTTTTTCCAGTATGTTTTTCCTCCTTTTTGAAAACTGGGCCAGTTAGCTATCTCCATTTTTATTTCATGAATACATCCCCAGCGCCTGGTATATAGTAGATATGGAACATTACACTTTGGAGATATTGCACCCATTCTCCAGTTTCTCCAAAGTTACTAACAATGGTTCCATCACTGTGCCAACATATTTTCTTTTTTCAATATATTGGGAAATAATTCTCCCAGTCTGAAAATCTGAACACATTTCATGTGACTTGGTATCCTCATATGTCTTGGGCTTCCAATTCTCCATTCCTAGTTTCAAGTTCATGAACTGTAAAACAAAGGATTAGACTAAATCTCTAAAGTTCTATCCAGATGCCAAATTCTTTTCTCTTTCCATGATACCTAAGATAGATGCCAAATATTGTCTTTTACCTGGTGTTTGTGAACATGACATCACATTACAGGAGTAGCAGATACTAAACTCTCACTCTGTAAAACACTGACTGAGTTCCATGAGCCAGATACTGAAGTGAGCTTGTTCACATATGTTCTCATTTAATGCTCATAACCCTGTGAAGCTGGGAATTGCTGGGACATTTTATTTATTTATTTATTGAGACGGAGTCTGGCTCTGTCACCTAGGCTGGTGTGCAATGGCATGATCTTGGCTCACCGCAACCTCCGCCTCCCGGGTTCAAGCGATTCTCTTGCCTCAGCCTCCGCAGTAGCTGGGATTACGGGCACACACCACCACATCCAGCTAATTTTGTATTTTTAGCAGAGATGGAGTTTCTCCATGTTGGCCAGGTTGGTCACGAACACTTGACCTCAAGTGATCTGCCTGCCTCAGCCTCCCAAAGTGCTGGGATTACAGGCATGAGCCACCATGCCTGCCCGGGACCCTTGTTTTAGAAGGATGACTGCTGCTATAATGTAGAAAGTGATTTGGAAGAGGGGAGGAGTGGGGCACGAAAGATGGTTAGTAGATGGGGGTGGTAATGCTTACCTTTCAGTATTTGGAGGCTTCGGAGTCCTCAAAAATTCTCTTCCTTGATTGGAGTCCTCCCAGCCAATAGAGGGCTTCACACAAACAGTTTCTTGGGTTTTGAATTGTTTGACCAGAGCTTTCTTCCGACAAAAGGTTGGGGTGATTCATTCACTTACCACACCTTGCCTGAACATTCACTTGGGGCTGCCGGTTATGAAGGCTATTGTTCTCCAGCCTGTCACAGACGCTTTGAAGACCTGTGCCTCAGCTGGTTCTAAGGAGTCAGTTTGTTCAGCTCCGTGCCAGGTTTCCAACTTATGAAATGTGCTGGAGATTAACACCTCTCCTGCCATTTTATCCCTACTATAATTGCCAGTCAAAGGATTCCTGCAGTTGCCTCTGGCAGCCATAACTGATGAATGTTCTGCCAGCTGCTCTGAGGACCTAGAAGAGCAGTTTTCTATCCAGGACCAGTTTCCAAGGGTGGGAGGGTGAAATATATCCTCCAGTGTGACATTTCATCTCCCAGTGATGGGTGGCTTGGGCCCTTTGAAGTTGGCTCTGAGGAACCACACACTTGGGTCTGAGCAGCCAGCAGCTTATCACATCTGGTGATCAATCCTTCAAAGGTTCCTCCTGAAGTCTGAATTTTTGGAGGTCAAATGGATTCCACCTGGGAGGGGCTTCTGCTTCAACTCAGGACATGGGGAGAAGGCTGTTCCTCTTCCAGGGGGAGGCAGTTTTCATGGCATTGAGATGTCCTCTCACTTATTCCCCACCCACCCACCAAGTCCTTTGTAAGAGGAGTAGGGGGAGAGGAGAGCGCCTGCAGCCTCCTGCTCACATTCCTAGACACCGACTCACTGAGCCCGTCGCCGCTGGAACAGCAGAGCTGTGTGAAATGTCAAGAGGAGTTATGCTCATAGGCTCCCTGGCCTCAGTCTCTTTGTGGCTTGCATATTCTTCCATTAGTACTGTGTTCATCACATGGAAATCAGAGGGTACAATTAAAAGATAATTTGCTAGTCCCAGACTTAATTTGGGGCCCCCTTCTTGCCTGATTGAATTACAGGGGAACATAATAGATTTTTGGTGAGAAATAGTTGTCTGTGTGGCTGGGAGAAAGATTGCTCCCAGCTCTCCAGCTGGGCAGCCCTTTCAGTATCCCGTATGTTATTTCCCCACTTCCAGCCCACCTCACCTCCTCTGTGGCCCTTGTGTGTCCCCTCGGCTAGGATCCTGACCTCCTGCTCAAGAGTTTAAACTCAACTTGAGACCCAAGGAAAATAGAGAGCCCTCTGCAACCTCATAGGGGTGAAAAATGTTGATGCTGGGAGCTATTTAGAGACCTAACCAAGGCCCAGACAGAGAGAGTGACTTGCTAAAGGCCACATAGCTAGCCCACAGTAGTTGTAACAATAGTCTTAATGATATTAATGGCTAACATTTATCAACCTTTAATGTGTCCCAGACTTTGTGCCAAGGGCTTACATGCAGTGCATTGTCGCATTCAAACCCAGACAGTCTGGCTCTGGGCCCAGGCTGAGCTTTGGTATAGCATGGTAGAACGTTGTCTATAATGTCTAGTCTGGGTTCAAATCCTGGCTTCACTTCTCACATTTACAGCTGAGTGACCTCAGGCAAGTGATTTAACCTCCCTGTACCTCAGTTGCTTTATCTGTAAAGAGAAAAATCACAGCACTGTGGAATAGTGGGGGTTAAAATTCATTCATACAAGTAGTGCTGCAAGCAATGTTTAATACAGGGTGAGCACCTGTTCAGTGCTTCCTTCTTCTGGCTGCCTCTGGGGCTAGAGTGTGGTGTCTTCGTGGTATAGATAGATAGATATGGCTGAGCTCTGCACAAACACCAAGAGCTGTTCTTCACTATTAGAGGTAGTAAACAGAGTGGTTGAGCTCTGTGGTTCTAGAACAGAGGCCGGCAAGCTATGGCCCATTGCCTATTTTAATACGGCCTGTGATTGATTGATTTTTTTTTTCTTTTTGAGACAGAGTTTCACTCTTGTTGCCCAGGCTGGAATGCAATGGCACGAACTCAGCTCACCGCAACCTCTGCCTCCTGGGTTCAAGCGATTCTCCTGTCTCAGCCTCTCGAGTAGCTGGGATTACAGGCATGTGCCACCACGCCTGGCTAATTTTTGTATTTTTAGTAGAGACAGGGTTTCTCCATGTTGGTCAGGCTAGTCTCGAACTTCCAACCTCAGGTGATCTGCCCGCCTCAGCCTTCCAAAGTGCTGGGATTACAGGCGTGAGCCACCATGACTGGCCTGATTGACTGATTTTTTTAGTAGAGATAGGGTCTTGGTTTGTTACCCAGGCTGGTCTCAAACTTCTGGCTTCAAGCAGTCCTCCCTCCTTGGCCTCTCGAATGCTGGGATTATAGGCATGAGCCACTATGCCTGGCCTATATGACCTGTGATTTTTAATGGTTAGGGGAAAAAAAGCAAAAGAATGCTTTGTGACATGTGGAAATTACATGAAACTCAAATATCAGTGTCCCAGCCTGGGCAACAAAGTGAGACCCTGTCTCTACAAAAAATAAAAAAAAATAAGCCAGGGCCGGGCGCAGTGGCTCACACCTATAATCTCAGCACTTTGGGAGGCCGAGGCAAGTGGATCACCTGAGGTCAGGAGTTCAAGACCAGCCTGACCAATATGGTGAAACCCTGTCTGTACTAAAAACACAAAAATTAGCCGAGCATGGTGGCATGCGCCTGTAGTCCCAGCTACTTGGGAGGCTGAGACAAGAGAATTGCTTGAACCTGGGAGGCGGAGGTTGCAGTGAGCCAAGATCGCGACACTACACTGCAGCCTGGGCAACAGAGCGAGACTCCGACACACGCACGCACGCACACACACACACACACACACACACACACACACGCTGGGTATGGTGGCCAGCACGTGTGGTCCCAGGATGCACTGGAGGCTTAGGTAGGAGGATCACTTGAGCTTAGGTGGTTGAGACTACAATGAACCATGTTTATACCACTGCACTTTAGCCAGGGCAACAGTGTGAGACTGAATCTCAAAAGAAAAAAAAAAAAAAGAAAAAAATCTTTCCATAAGTAAATATCTGTTGGAACATAGCCATGTCCCTTAGTTTATGTTTTATATATGGCTGCTTTTGCCCTATAATGACACAATTGAGTGGCCACGACAGTCTGTATGGCCTGCAGAGCCTAAGATATTTGCTCTCTGGCCCTTTACAGAAAAAGTGCCTTGACCTGTGCTCTAGAGCCATATGTACCAGGTTTGAAACTCAGCCTCACAGCTGGGTGTGATGGCACGCATCTGTAGTCCCAGCTACTCTGGAGGCTGAGGTGAGAGGATCACTTGAGTCCAGAAGGTCGAGGTCAAGATTGTAGTGAGCCATGATGGCATCACCGCACTCCAGCCTGAGTGACAGAGAGAGACCCTGACTCAAAAAAAAAAAAACAAAAAAAAAAAACACCCTCACCACTTATCAGCTATTTGTCTTGAGAATAGTGACATAACCCCTCAGAACCTATTTCCTAATCTGTTAAATGAGGCTGATGACGTTTCCTCCTTTTACTGGCAATTTAAACATGATGGATAATAAATGCTAAGCACTTAACACAGGGCCTAGAAGATATTAACTGCTCAATAAATGGTAGCTTCTTAACAGTATTCAAACCCATGTGCTCTTATCACATGCATTGTTGTCCCTGTGTCCAGTTGGTGGAATGGGAAAAGGCTCCCTTGTAACCCCATCTACCATCTTTATCAGACTTTCCTGCCATGGTTCACAGTAAGAGATAGAAGCTGCACGGTGACTTCTGGCTCTTTACAATGGTGAGCGGTGTGTGCCTGGTAAGGGAGAGCTGATGTCACTGCCCCAAATCCAGTAGTGAGATCTGAGTGTTCTGGTTTCCTCCAGCAGCCTTGCTTTTTCCTTTACAATCCTGCAGGCAGGGAGACAAGGGCTTTCTACATGGTAGGCTCTGGTTTGGTCATCGTCACAACTGGGGGCTGTTCAGGTGGGCTCCCATTCCAGATACCTAGGCTTATCAATCCCTTTTGGCACCCCAGGCCTTTTTCTCCCTCATGCCCCATTTTTCAGTTTGAAAAGCATGGTTATCACAGGACAAGTAGAAGAAGCTCCACTGTCCACTGAGGCCAATGGATGGTGTTCTGCATGTGAACACTCAGTGAATAGTGAGTGAATGAGAGTAACCTGGGCTCCATCCTATTTGCAGAGAGCTTTGGAAAAGATTTTTCTCCTTAAAGAGCCAGAATGAAGCCTGGTAGTGGGAGAGCTCCAGCTCTAGAGTCACATGAGCCTACATTTAAATTCCAGCCCTGCCACTGACTCCCTTTTTGACCTTGAGTGAGTTACCTAATCTCTCTGTACCTCACTTTTCTTGTCTGTAGAGTGGGAATAATTCCTGTCTCAGAGAAATAAAAGAGTGCATATAGTGTTTGCCACATGGAGACACATCAGGTGTAGGTTAATACTCTGGGCCTTGTTTCCTTATTTGCAACACAGCCCTGCCCTGGAGTGGAAGTGGCACCTCCCATTGGTCAGCTCTTGAGGCTGTCCCCAGGACAGGCAGAGGGAGGGAATGAATGGGAGCCCTAGTGCCAGGACAGAACAGATGGCAGCTCAGAGCTAGGATGGCTCTCTGGACCTGTCTCTCCTACCAGAGGTCCCCCCGTCTGGTGTGGCTCTTCCTGGACCTGGCATCCTCTGCTTTTTTTTTTTTTCCACCTCCAAGCAGAATTACTGTCCTGTAGGCAGCTCCTCTGCTTGAGGACATCTGGGGCCAGATATGTTCACACTCTATCCTGCCTTGCCCTTCCCTGAGCTCAGGATGGACGCTCAATTGGTCCCAGTTATTGTCTGCAGCGCCTGCCTGCAGCCTCGATCCAGCCCAGCTCCACCCCTTGCCTGCAAGGTCTGTTTCCTAACAGCTGCTCCAACCACACACCTCGGTTCTGCGGGAGCCCCTCCTCTTCCTCCCTCCCTCCCTCATTCAGGGGTGGGACTGAAGAAGAAGGCTAACTTGACAGCAGCGCTTCTTTCTTAGCTAGTCACCGGCCCCTGCTCAAGAATGCCAGTGTGTGTGTAGCCTCCACAGAGAGGTCGTTTTCTCGGAGTCCAGAGGGGCCGCCTGAGCTTCTGAGAACTAGGGAGGAGCCATCCCAGCCATGAGCCCCTGTGGGAATCTGCTGGGGGCCAAGTGGCCTGGAGTCCTCAGGCTCCCGCAGCTGCTCCGGAGGGAGAGGTGAGCTCAGGGCAGCCTGCCTGCAGCCAGAGGTGCCGGGAGCCCCGGGCCTGTCATGGTGGCCATCTACAGCCGGCCTGAGGCAGTCACAGACGGATTTGCAGCTGAGCCTGTCTATCTGGTGTGGGAAGAAGATGGGGAGTTACTTGTCAGTCCCGGCTTACTTCACCTCCAGAGACCTGTTTCGGTGAGTTGGTCTCCGAGTTCCCCTCTCCATCTCTCCTGGCCCCTGGTCCTGAGAGGAGGGTGGTCTCCCTAAATCTCCTTCTCACTTAGTCCTTTACCATCGGTTCTGCCGGGCAGAAGCCAGCGGAGGTTATACCCAAGGAGAATCGGCCTTGTGAGGTACCCCCATTATGTCCTGGAAGTGGTGAGGGGAGGGATATACCCAGAAGGAACTTCTTAGGGAGCTCCAGCTCCCCTTCTATCCCAGACAAACCTGAAGGAGCCTCCAAAAGATGCCACTGACCTGCCCATTGTAGATGTTACTGCTTCCGGGGGGAATAGCCCAAATAGAGTGCTGTTTCCAGCTCTCACATGTCTTACCTGCGGGCCATGCTGCCTGCCCAGGAATTTGTCCCAACAAGCAGGATGGGCAGGTTTTGCCAAACTGTGGAAACTGGCAAGTCCTGGGTGTGGGTAGCCTGGTACACAGTAGGCACCTTATAAACGTTTGTTCTCTTAATGGCAGGCACATTTGCCTCTGGCCTTGAAGGGCTTCTGAGCTCCCAGGTGAATGTAGTTGCTGGGGAAAGACCTGGGCGAGTGCTTCTAAGACTGGAGCAATGGGCTTTAGAGTGTTCCTGAGCTGCTGGGCCAGCCCCCACACCTCCTCAGTCCCTAGGCCTAAGTACCTCCACGAGCCTCTCTCTGTGGGGCTTCTCAGAGGGAGATGTGGAAACTCTACCTCTAACCTGGCTTTCTTTGCTCATTGCCCCACTCCACCTCCCATAGAAACTCCCCAGGGGGTTTCTGGCCCTCTGGGTCCCTTCTGAATGGAGCCATTCCAGGCTAGGGTGGGGTTTGTTTTCATTCTTTGGGAGCAGCCTGTTGTTCCAAAAAGGCTGCCTCCCCCTCACCAGTGGTCCTGGTCGACTTTTCCCTTCTGGCTTCTCTAAGCTAGGTCCAGTGCCCAGATCTTGCTGCCGGGATACTAGTCAGGTGGCCAGGCCCTGGGCAGAAAAGCAGTGCACCATGTGGTTTTGTGGAATGACCGGACCCTGGTAGATTGCTGGGAAGTGTCTGGACAGGGGGAAGGGGGAAGGGAACTGGTCCTCAATGCTGACTCTACCAAGCGCCCTGCTAGACACTTTATCCTTTAATCTCTCAACAGCCTAAAGAGATTATATATCCCCATTTTACAGATGAGGCAACCAGTTTCAACAGAGTTAACATATGGAGCCTCACTGGGCAGCTTTTTCTGTCTTCCTGACTTTCTCTCATCCTTCAGGGGGCTGCAGGTTTGTTTTCTTCTCCTAGTGGAGAGGAAATTCTCAGGTTTGTTTTCCTCTCCTAGCAGAGAGTAAAAAAAGGGATAGTTTGCCTGACTTGTTGAAGGTGTGGCTGAGATTGTTTTCTAAAGAGCCAATGGAAATTGATCTTGAGTTTAGGAGAAAGCTTTTACATGTGGAATTAAGATGCCAAGTGTTGAAGTAGCCACATTTCAGGTCCTCATTAATTTCTCTTAATCCTGGGAAGGCAGCTTAGGAGAAGGGTTGTTCCTTTAGGAGCCAGGAACTATACCCCTTTTACCCTTGGAGAGGCAGGGAAGCCAGGGAGGACACAACTTCTCAGGAAGAGGAGAAGCTAGAGCAGATAGTGAACTCTCAACCTGAACCTTTAAGGGCCAGACCACTAATGCCACCCAAGTCCACCTGCCGTTTGTCTTGTTCTGTCCCAGGCTTTCTGGAGAACCTGATCTTCTTGCCCCTACCCCCAAGCTCCGTTTGCCCAGCTAGAGTCTGGGGGGTACTGACTGACTTTCGTAGACATTCTTCCCTTCCCCAAATAAGAGGCCACATTCCTGAAGTCACTTCTGAAGAGATAGCTGCCACACAGGGCTCTTTCCCCCCAGGGAGGGACCACCCAGACCCTCTGCTCTCCCAGGTATCCGTTACCACATCACTACCTGGTCAGAAAGCTGTTTCTGCCATTAGCCCCTCCCTCTTTTATTATAGGATATCCTCAAGGGCTCCTCTTTGGGCCTCAGTTTCATCCTTGGCAGAAAGTAGAAGCTAGACTTCTTGGGCTCCTGAACAGGGTCCTTGCTGGATTCTGTGAAACAAATTAAGTTCTTGACCCTAGGCCTCTGGGGGAGTACAAAGTCTATGGGAGTTCTGGGGCTGTGGTTGCAAGGAAAGTGACGCAACCAGATTCCATGGGGACATGATCAGGCGTGACATGTGAGGGAGGAAGAGGGAGCAAGGGAATGAAGAATACAACTTCTGTGTCCCATACACCCCTGCCTGACAGGCCATACATACTCAGCAGAGAATGCACTGTCTTTCCTACCACACTAGCGTGAGAAGTGAGCTGCAATTACCACTGTGCTTCCAAGTAAGAAAATACCTCAAATTGGAATTTACAAAAGAGGTAAATTAGGGAGTGGCTTTTGTCGGACATCTTTAAAGCATTTTTCTTTTTATAGAATTTCACTTAATGTCCAATACTGATTTAATGAGCTTGGGTTTACACATTATCTCTTGAAGAAAACAAATGAACCTTTGTGTTCCAAAGCAATCCATGTTTAAAGGGAAAAAATTATGCATAACTCTGCCCAGCTTCACAGTAACCTTTGGCAGGTGCCTTAGGTCCTCTGGGACTCTTTTCCTTATCTGAAAAATGAAGGACTTGGATCAGGTGAATGGTTCCCAGCTCTGCAACTTATGTGGCTCCTCAGAGGCACACAAGCTCTTTTCCATTATTTGCCAAATAATGGAGGCCCTGTCTTTAACTGCAGTACAACTACACAAAATACTTGAAACTACAGTCTTCCTGGTTTTTGGTTGGAACTGAATCAGTGCACTCTAGCAACACTTATTTCTTGCTGTTCGTAGGCTTCATTATGTGTTTGGTTAATTTTTTAAAACAACAATAACATATTCCATAATAATTACAGCTTAATTGGCAGACTGTTTCAGTCTATAGGATCTGCAGGAAGGAGGAGTAATAAAGGGATTTTTGACTGAGCTCTTATGGAACAGAGTCTCTCTAGGCCCCTGTCATATCTGCCCTTCTGGGCCCTGGGGAAAAGTTGGCATCCCCAGTTGTGGTGCTCTCCAGGTGCCCTCAGGCTGTGGTGGAGGGAGCTTCCCATTCTCTCCTTCAGCCCACTCAATTCAGAGGCTAGGGGCTGAAAGAAGCTTCTCTACAACTGGCTGTTCACTGGGAGGTTAAGGGATGACCATCCAGCCAGGCCTTCCTCAGGACATGGGAGGGCTTATGCTTTAACATGTGTAAATCCACTGCAATAATGACTGGTTCTTTTACCCCATAAGGTTGAGAATTTACCTGTAAACATTTTTGTCTGAAGAATTTGGATGTAAGTGAGGGCTGGGCCTCTATCTTATCTCACTTGGCTTCTCTCAGCACAGCACCTTGCCTGCTTGTTCTTACACATCCTAGATGCACAGTAACTATTTCCTAATTATTAGAAATCTATTAGAATCAATTGATTTCAGCTGGGCTTGGTGGCTCCTTCCTGTAATCCCAGCACTTTGGGAGGCCAAGGCTGGAGGATCACCTGAGTCCAGGAGTTTAAGACCAGCCTGGGCAACATAGGGAGACCCTGTCTCTACAAAAAATAAAAAATTAGCCAGGCATGGTGGTGTGCACCTGTAGTCCCAGCTACTCAGGAGGCTGAGGCAGGAGGATCTCTTGAGCCTGGGAGGTCAGACTACAGTGAGCAATGATTGTGCCACTGCACTCCAGCCTGGGTGACAGAGTAAGACTCTGTCTCTTAAAAAAAAAAAAAAAAAGTTGATTTCTATTTGGATAGATAAATAAAGGTCATTTTAGGACCTTTCTTTTTCACTTACAGAAATCTGTTTCATTCTGGGCTGAGAAGCAGGTCCATATTGCTAGGCATAGGAGAAAAAGGGGTCTGTCTGCATTTGCCCTTGGTGGTCTCAAATTGGGGAGGGAAAGAAATGAACACTTACTGGCTACCTTCTGTGAGCCAGGCATCATGCAAGACATCTGTACATAATTTAATTCTCATAACCCCATAAGATATTATTAGCAATGTACAAGTGAGGAAACTGAGGCTCAGAGTCATGAAGTAACTGGCCTTGGGTGACACAGATGGTAAATGGCAGAGAAGGAATATGGATCCAGGTCTTGAAAGAGAAAATCTCAACTGATTATCTTTTTTAAAAAACTCATATGTTCTCTGCTGACTCAAAAGGTCTCTGTGTGGATCTGGGTTGACCCACTGAACTGACCATCAGGGTTCCATGCACTTTGTATCTGCCCAAGCCCTCAGAACCCCTCAGTAATGTTTTGGAAGATGAGTTTTGGAGGTTGTCCTTAGGCATAGCCTCAGCGTATGTAGGCCTCTAGGTGATCTCCCCTAACCTGAGGATTTCAGCTCAATTCACTCTGGCTCCTCAGGACAGTGGGATGACTGGTTCAGACCTCAGCTTTACCACCTCCCAGCTGGGTACTCTTCTACCTACAGCCAGGGCAGATTTTGACTTTCACTTGAAACTTCCAAAAATTGAAAGGTAGAAAAACAGCCTTGGCTTTGGGAAGAACGTATGATGTCCATGGCCTCTAAGCATCTGAGGTGGGACATGTTCGAGTAGCACCTTACAGTTCCAAAGTGTGTTCTGGGTTCTTTGTTTAAAAGAACAGAGACTGCTGGGGAATTGAACACTGTGAAGTATATGAAGGAGGAGAATTGTGCTATTTAACATTCAGTACTTGGGCTAAAGGAGAAGCATCACGAAGTGTTAACACTCAAAGGGTCTTGAGCTGTCAGGGCTCCAGCTTCCTTATTTTCACAGGTGAGAATCCTGAGGCTCAGCTGTTGAGATGTGCTGTCTCACTCCGGTGACATAGTACAGTGGATGTGGCTTTGCAGCCAAGCACACATAGCTTCACATTCCAGCTCCATCAATTATGTATTGGGCAGCTTTGCAGAATGATTTGACTTTAACTCTGCTTTTCAGTCTTCTGTAAAACAGGGATAATCCTGCTACCGTAGGGTTGTCAGGATTAGAGATAATATAAATAAGGTACCTCATATAGGACCTGGATTATGGCTGGCATTCAATAAATAGTAGCTGTTAATTGATAGCTAAGCTAGAACTCTGAAGTCTACCATGGCAACTTCTTAAGTGGTCTGAGAACCCAGTTGTGTTCTGTGGCAAAACACAGCTTAGGGATCCATACCCAGCCCTCCTGTCAGCTGTTCACCTTCCAGTTCTTCAGAGACATGTGTGGCAGTGACTTTGGCCACATAGCTGGCTGTGCCCTTTAAAGGCATTCCTTGACACAGATATGTGGACTGGTGACGTTGCTCTCCAGCCAGGTGTTCTTCCCAGCAGGCTGGCCTGGCTGTCTCCTGCATGCCTGTACTTGTTTGTCTCCCTGCTCCCTCTCCTGGGCCTGGCCAGAGCTACTTGCAGCAAACAAAAGCAGGATATTGGCAATGGAAAGGAGGGTGTGTTCTGGTGCTCCCATGCCCTGCGGCGCACATACCATTGCAAGGGCGTAACAGAGCCCAGGCCTGCATTTGGGTGCAAATAAGTCTGCACACAGAAGAAAAGAAGGACCTGGTGACCAGGAGCCATGGAACCCTTGTGCTCCCCTACCTGGGCTACTGGTTCTTGCCACTCCTACCATTTTCAGTTTGGAAATATTTGTTAAGGCTTTGCTCTTCCAGGTCCTTTGCTTGGTGCTGAGTCTACCAAGAGTAAGTGGGATGCTGTTTTTGTCCTCAGGGAGCTAACAGTCTAGTGAAGAAGAAAGATGGTTGCCCAGGAACTTCTAAGTCAGAAGGCAGGAGGCAAGAAGGAAGCCCCTGCTCCTACTGCCAGCCCTCTGTTGGGCACCCCATAGTTCTTCAGAACCACATTTAATCCTCACTGCAGGCCAGGCATAGTGGCTCACACCTGTAATCGCAGCACTTCGGGAGGCCAAGGCGGGCAGATCACTTGAGGTCGGGAGTTCGAGACCAGCCTCACCAACATGGGGAAACCCCGTCTCTACTAAAAATAGAAAAATTAGCCGGGTGTGGTGGCATGCGCCAGTAATCCCAGCTACTCAGGAGGCTGAGGTGGGAAAATCACTTGAACTCGGGAAGCAGAGGTTGCAGTGAGCCGAGATTGTGCCACTGCACTCCAGCCTGGGCGATAAGAGCAAAATTCCATCTCAAAAAAAAAAAGAAAAAAGAAAAAATCCTCACTGCTACCTTGAAAGTAGGTGATGACATTGCCATTTCACAAATGAGAAGTGAAGGGGCTAGCCCAAGATCACTTAGGTGGTAAATGGTGGTGCTAAGATTAGAACCTCAGATCATCTAGGGAAAAACACAGATATGCACAGAGTTAAGGGGACCCAGGGTATTGTTTGTCCTCTTGTTTCACAGGTGGGGAAACAACCCAGAGAGGGAAAGGGGCTTGTCCAAGGCAATTTAGCACCCAAGAACTTGAACCCATATCTCTCTCCTCCTCATTTAGAGCTCATCCCACATGTATCTTATATTGAGAGGAGTGTGAGCCACATACCAAGAACAGTCTTCCCCTCTGCCTCCAACCTCACTGTGCAGTTTTGAGACACTTCACAGCCATACTCTTCATGCCATACCCAGCCCTTAAGACCCTGAAGTTCCCCTTCCATAAGACAAGTAGGAAAAGCTATAGGGTAAAAATAGCCATCAGTGTTTGTTGAGCACCCAGGAGGAATTGGGCACTCCAGAAAGATAAAGGGATTCTCAGGGACTTGCTTCTCTAGACTTCCCTAGCTCAGCTGCTTCAACTCATTCCTGCCCCTCTTCTCTACCTCCCGCAGTGCTCAGAAGTAGTAGAACTCACTGTGGCCTCTCACCTTGCATTGTTGAGTTTTATTTAGACTTTCTCTTCCTCAACTCTTCATAAGCTCATGAAAGGTGAAGTAGGGTGCCCTGTGTATTTATCTTTTATATCTGCAGTGCTTAGCAAGTTATAATAATGCACTTGCCTGGCAAAAGGCTTTCTCTCATACATTAGCTTATTTCCTCTTCACATTGGCTCTTTGTAGTAATAGGATGCTATTAGTTATTTTCAATGAGAGAAAGCTACTAAGAGAAGTTGTCCAGCTAGTGACAGTAAGTGGCTGATAAAGTGAGCTGCCATTACATTGTCATCATCTTTAATAGAAGTTAACACATACTGAGTTTCTACTATATTGGGTCTTTTTTTTTTTTTTTTTTTTTTTTTTTTTTTTTTTTTTGAGACGGAATCTTGCTCTGTTGTCCAGGCTGGAGTGCAGTGGTGCAATTTTGGGTCACCACAACCTCCGCTTCCCAGGTTCAAGCGATTCTCCTGCCTCAGCCTCCTGAGTAGCTGGGACTACCAGTGCACGCCACCACGCCCGGCTAATTTTTGTATTTTTAGTAGAGACAGGGTTTCACCATGTTGGCCAGGCTGGTCTTGAACTCCTGACCTTGTGATCTGCCCGCCTCAGCCTCCCAAAGTGCTGGGATTACAGGTGTGAGCCACCGCGCCCTGCCTATATTAGGACTTTTATATAAGCTATCTCTAGCTAGCTAGCTAGCTAGCTATAATGTTTTTTGAGACAGAGTCTGACTCTGTCACCCAGGCTGGAGTGCAGTGGCGTGATCTCGACTCACTGCAACCTCCACCTCCTGGGTTCCAGTGATTCTCCTGCCTCAGCCTCCCGAGTAGCTGGGATTATAGGTGCATGCCACCACGCCCAGCTAATTTTTTGTATTTTTAGTAGACCAGGTTTCACCATGTTGGCCAGGCTGGTCTCGAACTCCTGACTTCAAGTGATCCACCCGCCTCGGCCTCCCAAAGTGCTGGGATTATAAGCATAAGCCACTGTGCCCAGCTGCTCTCTATATTTTTAATACATATTATTTCCATTAATTTTCACAGCAGTTCATTTTATAGATGAGGAAACTAGGCCAGAGAAGTAAAATATCTTGCCCAAGATGATGTAACTAGTAAGTGGCAGGATCAAGATTCAAACCAAGCAATGTTCAAACCTCTTGGAAGCAAGAATGTGGCCACTGTGGAAGGTGCAAGGCCTTGACAACAAGAATAGGGAAAAGAAGGAGCTAGAAGGAAAGAGATGGCATGGGCTCAGCAGGCCAGGGAGCTCTTAGCTGTGTGTGTTGGGAAGCTCAGAAGGGAGGAAGAGGTTGTCTGTGCAGGTAAGTCCTGAGAACACACCAGACTTTTGAGAGGTGGAGCTTCATAGCCAGGTCATTAGGGGAGAAGGGAGCTATAGATTTTTTTTTTTTTTTTTTTTTTTTTTTTTTTTTTAGAGACGGGGTCTTACTATGTTGCCCAGGCTGGTCTTGAACTCCTGGGCTCAAGTGATCCTCCCACCTCAGCCTCCCAAAGTGCTGGGATTAGAGGCATCAGCCACCCCGCCCAGCGAGCTATGGATCTAACATGTACATCTTACACAGTGCTAATAGAATGTTGGGTTTCTTCCCCAATATTTTATTTTGAAAAAAAATTCAAATATATAGAAAAGTTGAAAATGTAGTTCAAAGAACACCTACATACCTTTCACATAGATTCATGATTTGTTAATGTTATGCCACTTTGTATATATCTCTCTCCCTCTATCTGTATACTTTTATTTATTTATTTTTGCTGAACTATTTCAGAGTAACTTAAAGGCATCTTGATTTTACCCTTGAACAGTTCAATATGTTTCTGCTAAGAATTCTCCTATATAAGTCAGATATCATTACATCTAAGAAAATTCACGGCAATTTTACAATATAATATTATAGTCCAAATCCATATTTCCTCAGTTGTTCCAAAAAATGTTCATGGCTGTTTCCTTTTTTAATCTAAATTTGAATCCAAGTTTGAGGCATTGTATTTGGTTGCTGTGTCTCTAGGGTTTTTAAAATCTGTGCCTTTTCTTCTCCCCATGACTTTTTAGAAGAGTCAAGACCGGTTATTCTTATAGAATAACCCACATTCTAGATTTGCCTGATTAGTTTTTTTATACTTAACGTATTTTTGGCAAGAACATTACATTGGTAACGCTGTTGGTGATGGGTCAGTTTTGAAGAGTGGAGATGATTAAACTGCTTTTGTTCATTGAAGTATCTGTCAAGACCAGAGATCCTTAACTGGTGCCATAAATAGGTTTCAGAGAATCCTTTATATATACACCCTGTCCCCCACCTAAATTATATACACATCTTCTTTATATATTCATTTTTCTAGGGGAGGCTTCTTGGCTTTTATCAAATTCTCAGAGGGCCCCAAGACCCAAAGAGGTTATGAAACACTAGTCTGTCCACTGAGGCAGGCAACACAGAGCTGGTTTCTGGGGCCTTGTTCAGTCTGAACCAGCTTCCCTTGGGGAGATAGCACAAGGCTGTAACTTTGCCCCATCTTGGCTTTGGATCAAAGAGGACTGTCCATTTTGTTGTCATACCTAGGAACCAGGGACAGCTTATGTGGCCTGGTTCCAGGGATCCAGGAGAATTTCAGTTCTTGTCTTGCCTTTCAGGTGTTCAGAATGCCAGGATTCCCTCACCAACTGGTACTATGAGAAGGATGGGAAGCTCTACTGCCCCAAGGACTACTGGGGGAAGTTTGGGGAGTTCTGTCATGGGTGCTCCCTGCTGATGACAGGGCCTTTTATGGTGAGTGAATCCCTTCATATCTGCCCCTCTTGGTCTTCAGAGTCCATTGACAGTGCTTCCAGTTCCCTGTGGCCTGTTAATCTTTTAGTCTTTCCATCAGCCAGGGCATCTCCCTTTATTTATTCATTCATTCAACTAGCAGGTATCAATTGAGCACCTACTAAGTGAAAGGTAAGATCCTTCCCTCAAAGACTTAATAGTTGAACGTTGGGAGTGGGAGGAGAGGCAGGCAGAGAGGAGACACAATATAGTTGGATAAGGACCTCCAAGGAGAGTGTTACAGGCTGAGAGGAGGATATACTTAGGTTGTCTTTAGGGAATCAGAAAAGGAGACTCTGGAATAGGCTGGCAGAGAGAGGGGCTACCTCCTATACCTGCTCTGGACAAACGACTTTAAGCATAGTGACAGACTTGCCAACCCTGTATTGGAAGAACTGATCTTTTTTAGTGGGGATGATTACTTCTGGGGATTTCTTCTCATAACTGAGACCAAAACAGTTTTGTGCAGTCTCAGAAATGACAGGAGGTACCAATCTGACACTTCCTTTGGAAGCTCTAGGGCAGAGAGTGAAAGAGTGGATTTTGACGGGGGCCTTGCTTGGAGGTCATTCACCCACCCCTGTCCTCACTCCAGCAACAGTGATAACTCACTTCCTTCCTCCCTTTGTACACCCTTCTCCCCACCTGCTCACAGGTGGCTGGGGAGTTCAAGTACCACCCAGAGTGCTTTGCCTGTATGAGCTGCAAGGTGATCATTGAGGATGGGGATGCATATGCACTGGTGCAGCATGCCACCCTCTACTGGTAAGATAGTGGTCCTTTGTCTATCCTCTCCCATATAAGAGTGGCTGGCGGGGAGGGACAGTGGCAGGGTGAGTTGGGCAGAAGGAGTGTTAGGGTAGTCAGAGCATTGGATTCTTACCACAGCAGTGCTCTTAACCAGCTCTTTAACTTGTAAGCAGAATGATTTACACATGTCTCTACCCTTTTTCCTTACCAACCTTGAAAATGTCTTCACTCTGCCCTGCAATCCTCCCAGTGGGAGGCACTCTTCAAGGACGATCCCAGAACATTAAAGTCAAAGACCCCTTAGAGCTCACCCTGTCCAACCACCTTGGTTGATAAAAGAAGTCAGCCTGGGGCCCATGGAATAGAATAGTACAAGGGCAAGGTTCTCATTGTGAGTCAAAGGTAGAGTGAAGAGAACCCAGACCATCTCACCCCAACCCAGGCCAGTGTTTTTCCAAATATACCACTTGCTGCAGATCTAGCTCAGCACCCCCAGTCCCAGCCCACCCTGAGAACCCAGGCTCCTCATTCTGAGCAGCCAGCTAGAATCATGACAAAGAGGGTGGTAGTGAGACTATGGGTACTGTTGCTTAAAGCCACATGGTGCAGTGGTTGCTGGGGGGCTTCTGTGTGGGACTCTAGCATCTTATTCCCCCCTGTGCCCTCTCCCCAGTGGGAAGTGCCACAATGAGGTGGTGCTGGCACCCATGTTTGAGAGACTCTCCACAGAGTCTGTTCAGGAGCAGCTGCCCTACTCTGTCACGCTCATCTCCATGCCGGCCACCACTGAAGGCAGGCGGGGCTTCTCCGTGTCCGTGGAGAGTGCCTGCTCCAACTACGCCACCACTGTGCAAGTGAAAGAGTAAGTATTTTGAGAACCCTTCAGCAGGGGTTCTTGAGCAGAGTCTGTAAATGGGCCTCAGAGGGCTTAGACCTCCAAAGTCTCATGCAGAACTCCCTTTATTCTCATCTCATATCTTTCTCCTGGACCCCACTATGCTGTAACCGTACCTGGGCCTTGGCACTTACTGTTCTCTCTGCCCAGGCTACTTCCTACCCGATACTTAAGGCAAGAATCACTCACCTTTCAGGTGTCAGGTTTCAGGTCATGTTTGCTCTTTGAAATCATCTGGCTTGATTATGTGTATTAGTTGTTTATCTTCTATCCCCTCCACTAGAATGTAAATTCCAGAAGAAACTTGCTGTCTTATTCAGTGCTGCATGCCCAGGGCTTGGAAGAGTACCTGGCATATAGTAGGAGTTGATTGATTATTATTTTGTCAGTCGAGAGAATGAATGGAGAAAATGTGGTCCATGGCCCAAAAGAAGTTAAGACCCTATCCTAGATTCAGGCCAGAGACCAGATGGAGAAAGAGTCTGTGTCTATCTAATACCAGTAATGTCGTACCTCTGGCCGCTTACCATGTAAATATTGATTGTGTATCTACCATGTGTTGGACACTAGGCTAGTGCTTGCACAGCAGGTGAAAGATACTAGAGTTTGGGAAGTCAGGAGGAGCTAAGGTCTGTTCTACAACCTTATTAGATGAAGAGGAGAGGGAATTGTGTTCAGGGCAGAGGGAGAAGCATTTCTCCAAAAGTAGGAGTCTTAATCATGTCTGATGTAGGTTGAGTGTGGCCAGAAAAGGGGCTGTTAAGTATAGAGGGCCTGGATTATGAAAATCCAGCAGATCCATTGAGAGTTTAAGCAGCAAGGTGTTGTGACCAAGTTAACATTTTAGAAGGATCACTGGTATGGAGGTTGGATTGGAGAGGGGAAAGCCTAAAGGTATAGAGACTAGTTAGGAAGCTATTGTAGGCTGGGCATGGTGGTTCATGCCTGTAATCTCAGCACTTTGGGAGGCTGAGGTGGGAGGATTGCTTGAGGCCAGGAGTTGAAGACCAACCTGGCCAACATAGCAAGACCCCGTCTCTGTTTTTCTTAATTAAAAGAAAAGTCCAGACGTAGACATAGTGGCTCACGCCTGTAATGCCAGCACTTTGGGAGGCCAAGGTGGGCAGATTGCTTGAGGTCAAGAGTTTGGGATTAGGCCAGGCGCAGTGGCTCACGCCTGTAATCCCAGCACTTTGGGAGGCCGAGGTGGGCGGATCACAAGGTCAGGAGATCAAGACCATCCTGGCTAACACAATGAAACCCCGTCTCTACTAAAAGTACAAAAATTAGCCGGGCATGGTGGCGGACGCCTGTAGTCCCAGCTACTCGGGAGGCTGAGGCAGGAGAATGGCATGAACCTAGGAGGCGGAGCTTGCTGTGAGCAGAGATCACGCCACTGCACTCCAGCCTGAGCGACAGAGCGAGACTCCATCTCAAAAAAAAAAAAGAGTTTGGGATTAGCCTGGCCAACATGGCAAAACCCCATCTCTACAAAAAGTACAAAAAAATTAGCTGGGTATGGTGGTGCGCGCCTGTAATCCCAGTTACTCAGGAGGCTGAGGCATGAGAATTGCTTGAGCCTGGGAGGTGGAGGTTGCAGTGAGCCCAGATCATGCCACTGCACTCCAGCCTGGATGACAGAGTAAGATGCCATCTCAAATAAAAATTAAAAACAAAGTTTAAAAAAAAAATAGAAGCTATTACCGTGATCCAGGTAAGAGATGTGAATAACTACAATGATGGAAAGAAGGCAGAGTTCTTAGAGATGGGAGTAGGAGAGATGAGGGAACTCCAGATTGGGAAGATGATGTTCAAGTTTCTGGCTTAGGCCACAGGGTGAGTGGCAATTCCCTTCACTGAGATGGGGCATCCTGGAAAAGGTGTTGCCTTTCTGTGTGGGTATCCTGGGCCCCTTAGGGGCCACTGGTGGCCTGGGACCTGGTAAACCTTCCCTGCACAAGCAGAATTGGTCAAGCAGGTTTTTAGGACATCTTTACCCTGCCTCAACTCTTGTCTGGCCCAGGGTCAACCGGATGCACATCAGTCCCAACAATCGAAACGCCATCCACCCTGGGGACCGCATCCTGGAGATCAATGGGACCCCCGTCCGCACACTTCGAGTGGAGGAGGTAGAGTGTGTGTCTAATCTGTCTTGTGAGGGTGGGACATGGAACAGATCCTCTGAGAAATCAGGCTGTAGCCTTTACCTTTTCCTACCCCCAGCCCATCTCTTTGTCTTAGCATTGAGCCTGTGACCACTGGTGACCTATTTCAGCGTAACAGGTTCCCAGGGTAGCAGGGATGGTTGATGGACGGGAGAGCTGACAGGATGCCAGGCAGAGGGCACTGTGAGGCCACTGGCAGCTAAAGGCCACCATTAGACAAGTTGAGCACTGGCCACACTGTGCCTGAGTCATCTGGGTTGGCCATGGGTGGCCTGGGATGGGGCAGCCTGTGGGAGCTTTATACTGCTCTTGGCCACAGGTGGAGGATGCAATTAGCCAGACGAGCCAGACACTTCAGCTGTTGATTGAACATGACCCCGTCTCCCAACGCCTGGACCAGCTGCGGCTGGAGGCCCGGCTCGCTCCTCACATGCAGAATGCCGGACACCCCCACGCCCTCAGCACCCTGGACACCAAGGAGAATCTGGAGGGGACACTGAGGAGACGTTCCCTAAGGTGCCACCTCCCACCCTGGCTCTGTTCTGTCCTATGTCTGTCTCTCGGATGAAGCTGAGCTGGCTTTCAGAAGCCTGCAGAGTTAGGAAAGGAACCAGCTGGCCAGGGACAGACTATGAGGATTGTGCTGACCCAGCTGCCCCTGTGGGGATCACAGTTTACAGCCAGAGCCTGTGCGGACCCAGCTGTCTGCCAGGTTTCCTTAGAAACCTGAGAGTCAGTCTCTGTCCACTGAACTCCTAAGCTGGACAGGAGGCAGTGATGCTAAACCCTGAAGGGCAACATGGCCTATGGAGAAAGCATGGAGCTCAGAGCCTGGAGTAGGGGCACAGATAGGATTGAATAAATTGTGTAGAAAGACTTTGAAAACAATAAAGCAAAAGATGAATGAACGTTTTTTTTAGACTTGAGGGACCAACAACCCCCAAACCCCAGATTCTGCCAGGTCCATGGGGAAGGAGAAGTTGCCTTGAGTGGAAGCCCCAAGTAGGGAGACTTACAGAAAAGAAGTCAAGAGCACTGGCTCCCAGGCAGAAATACTGATACCCTACTGGGGCTTCAGGCTGAGCTCCTCCCTTCACAAATCACTTCATCTCTCTGAGCCTGTTTCTGCATCTGTGACATAAGATGGTAAGATAAAGGTGGCTGTCTCACCAATTATGTAAGGATTAAATGTGGAAAAGGACATAAAGTTGTATAGTGCTGCCATAGGGACAGTGTTCAGTAAACGTGACACATTCTTAGTATCACTAAGAATCAGGTTCTTGGCCAGGCACCGTGGCTCATGCCTGTAATCCCAACACTCTGGGAGGCCTAGGTCGGAGGATGGCTTGAACACAGGAGTTTGAGACCAGCCTGAGCAACATAGTGAGACACTGTCTCTACAAAAAAAAAATAATAATAATAATTGTTTTTAATTAGATGGGCAGGGCACTGTGGCTCACACCTGTAATCCCAGCACTTTGGGAGGCCAAGGCCGGAGGATTGCTTGAGGCCAGGAGTTCAGGAGCAGCCTGGGCCACATTCCTGTCTCTACAAAGAATAAAAAACTTAACTGGGCATGGTGGCACATGCCTGTAATCCCAGCTACTCAAGAGGCTGAGGAGGAGGATTGCCTGAGCCCAGGAGTTCAAGACTGCAGTGAGCCTTGATCACACCACTGTACTACAGCTTGGGCAACAGAGTGAGACCTTGTCTCCAAAAAAAAAAGTTTGTTTTTTTTTATCCACTCTCCTCACCAAACAAACTGAGTAAGTTAGAGCCCTCTCAGCTGGCATGTGTTGGAAACAGTGCCCTCTCATTAAAGTGCTGCCCTCACTCCCATTGCCTCTTGGCCTTGGTCAGTATGATGAAATTAGTGGGAGGCAGGGCAACAGAGGGCAGGGAAGAGCTAGAAATCCATGGCCTGGAAAAGGGAAGATTTGGGAGTGGCCAGGTATCTGTAGAGCCACCATGCAGAGGAGGGGGGCAGCTAGCCTTGTGTGCTCTGGTGGGCATGGTCAGCAGGAGGCAGAGCAAAAGGACAAGGGTAAGTAAACCTGTAGGTCGGGACAAGCCAAGAGCCATCCAGCGTCAGTCCTCTCTGGGTAGCCCAAGTAAAGCAGGAGCATACCCCAGAGAGAAAGTTCGCAGGGCTGTTCACCTGCAGTGCTGTGGACTTCAACCTTCTTGTTCCTTCTTCAGTAAGTGAAAATAACAGTCATTGACCATGACTATTATCGACCGCTTTTGAAAATGTAAACATAGTGACTTTATTGCTGTAAAAATCATACGTGTTTATCATCTTAAAATTCAGGAAACATGGACAGGTACAAAGATGTGCAAAATATCATCCAAAATCCCATTTGCTGGCCAGGCACGGTGGCTCACGCCTGTAATCCCAGCACATTGGGAGGCCGAGGCGGGCAAATCACTTGAGGTCAGGAGTTTGAGACCAGCCTGGCCAACATGGTGAAACCCTATCTCTACTAAAAATACAATAATTAGGCTGGGCGCAGTGGCTCACGCCTATAATCCCAGCACTTTGGGAGGCCGAGGTGGGCGAATCACAAGGTCAGGAGTTTGAGACTAGCCTGGCCAATATGGTGAAACCCCATCTCTACTAAAAATACAAAAATTAGGGCCGGGTGTGGTGGCTCACGCCTGTAATCCCAGCACTTAGGGAGGCCGAGACAGATGGATCGCGAGATCAGGAGTTCGAGACCAACCTAGCCAACATGGTGAAACCCCATCTCTACTAAAAAAATACAAAAATTATTCGGTTGTGGTGGCACACGCCTGTAATCCCAGCTACTTGGGAGGCTGAGGCAGGAGAATCTCTTGAACCTGGGAGGCAGAGGTTGCAGTGAGTGGAGATCCCGCCGTTGCACTCCAGCCTGGGCGACAGAGTGAGACTCCATCAAAAAAAAAAAAAAAAAAAAAAAAATTAGCCGGGCGTGGTGGCGTGCACCTATACTCCCAGCTACTTGGGAGGCTGAGGCAGGAGAATCGCTTGAACCTGGAAGGCGGAGGTCGCAGTGAGCCGAGATCGTGCCATTGCACTTCAGCCTGGGCGACAGAGCGAGACTCTGTCTCAAAAATAATAATAATAACAATAACTAGCCGGGCCTGGTGGCACATGCCTGTAGTCCCAGTTACTCAGGAGGCGGAGGCATGAGACTCAGGTGAACTAGGGAGACAGAGGTTGCAGTGAGCCAAGATCACACCACTGCACTCCAGCCTGGTTGACAGAGCGAGACTCTGTCTCAAAAAAAAAAAATCCCATTTGCTCATTTTTTGGATACTAGTATAACTATCACTCTAAACCAGTTAGTACTTAAATCAAGCAGATATGGGAGATGGTGAATTACCATCTACAGTGTTGTCATATATGTCACATACTGAGCATTATCAGCTAGTAGAATCTAGTTAATTGTTCTATGTGTGATGTATGCAGAGTTCCCATTTTGAATGTGTTTTTACTATGCTTAAATAAATGACTGATGTCAGCAACCCCAAAATGATACATCTGATGTAAGAGCCCCTGTTCCCCAATAATAACATCTAAACTATAGACATTGGAATGAACAGGTGCCCCTAAGTTTCCTCCCTCCAGGGTTTCTTGGCCGGTCTCTGAGGACTACACATCCCTACTCCCGTCTTTCCTCATCTTCAGGCGCAGTAACAGTATCTCCAAGTCCCCTGGCCCCAGCTCCCCAAAGGAGCCCCTGCTGTTCAGCCGTGACATCAGCCGCTCAGAATCCCTTCGTTGTTCCAGCAGCTATTCACAGCAGATCTTCCGGCCCTGTGACCTAATCCATGGGGAGGTCCTGGGGAAGGGCTTCTTTGGGCAGGCTATCAAGGTGAGCGCAGGCAACAATTGCTTTGCTCTTCTGCCCCCAGTCCCTCTGTCACTGTCTTTCGGGGATTTCTCATCACTTGGCCCCACCCCACACCATGCAGGATGCCAGGCCTCCTTCCTGGCTTTGGGTGTTGGTGTGAGAGGTATCCTTCACCCCCACCCAGGCCACCTAAGGTCAATGTTGCTGTTACAGTGAGCTTGTGGACCTGGAGATCCAGGTTGGGTTGAGCTGTGCCTGTGGCCCTCCTGCCTCCAGTCAGTGGGTGTTTGTTAGGTGCCTGCAGACCTCAGTACCGGGCATGCTACAAGGAGCACACAGGGGAATGGCTCCTGCCTCCCTGGTGAACAGTCTCAGGGACTAACCTCTCTCTTTCTCTCCTCCTCCTCCTCTTCTGCTGAGAACTGGGAGGGGGGGTCAGGTAAGACGTGTGTCTCAGCTTGGGGGCAGCAGGGCTGGAGAGCTCACCCCCGATCCACCCAGCTCCCTGGTGCATGTCTTTGGCACTGACCTTCCTGCCCCCAGACTTCTGTTCACTCAGGAGACTCACTTCTATGCCAAATGACCAGAGCCCCTGCTTGGCTTGGCAGCATCCCCTCCTGCCTTCTTCCCCACTTCCCTTTTCTGGGTTCTTGCCTGTCCTCTGTGCATGCCCAGCTCTCCAGGAAAGAGGGTTTGCTTCCGTGTGAGTCCCATGTTGCTCCACGCTGCATCTTCCACACATGAACTCTGTCATTCTGACCCGGCTCAGTGTGCCCTCCAAGGGATGGGATGGCCAGCTGCATAGATTTTCTCAAACAGTTCTCCAGAACTTCCTCTGGTCTCAGCACCATTAACAGTCACCCTCCCTGTAGGTGACACACAAAGCCACGGGCAAAGTGATGGTCATGAAAGAGTTAATTCGATGTGATGAGGAGACCCAGAAAACTTTTCTGACTGAGGTAAGAAGATGGAGGGGGCCCGGGAGGTTGGTGTCACCATTGGAAGAGAGAAGACCTTACAAATAATGGCTTCAAGAGAAAATACAGTTTGGAATTACTGTCTTAAAGACTAAGCAGAAAAGAGCCCTAGAGGAATATCCCACTCCCTCTAAATTACAGCGTAATTATTTGTTCAATGAACACTTACTAAAAGCAACACAAACAGGGTACAAGGGATGCAGTAACAAAAGATACAGGGTTCAGAAGAGCTCTCAGGTTATGAGGATGATGGACATGAAAACACTCCAATTTAGTACAACTCAATGTTATAATCCTCACCTGAACGCCCTGCTAAGGGAGCCTGGAGGGGAGCTCCCTGAGCACTCACACTCCTTGGGCATTTACAGTTTTCACTACCCCTCCCAAGTTACTTCATGGAGTAACTTAAGTTGGGGACACCTGTGGTCTGGGTATTGCCCTCCAAGCCACTTGGCCACTCCCACCCCAGTTCTCCCAATGCAGTTCCAAGGGTAAGGCCTATGAAGCCATCTCCATCTATATGGTGGTGGTCTTCCCTCATCCTGATCTTAGTGCCCTGTCATATCACAAGATAGGAGGTAGGAGATACAGGTGGTAACACTTGTCAAGCTGATTCCTTGGAGGGAAGAGGTAAGGAAGACAGTGAGAAGTTAACCACCAGCTTTCCTTGGCTTCCCCCACCCCCAGGTGAAAGTGATGCGCAGCCTGGACCACCCCAATGTGCTCAAGTTCATTGGTGTGCTGTACAAGGATAAGAAGCTGAACCTCCTGACAGAGTACATTGAGGGGGGCACACTGAAGGACTTTCTGCGCAGTATGGTGAGCACACCACCCCATAGTCTCCAGGAGCCTTGGTGGGTTGTCAGACACCTATGCTATCACTACCCTAGGAGCTTAAAGGGCAGAGGGGCCCTGCTTTGCCTCCAAAGGACCATGCTGGGTGGGACTGAGCATACACAGGGAGGCTTCACTGGGAGACCACATTGACCCATGGGGCCTGGACCACGAGTGGGACAGGGCTCAACAGCCTCTGAAAATCATTCCCCATTCTGCAGGATCCGTTCCCCTGGCAGCAGAAGGTCAGGTTTGCCAAAGGAATCGCCTCCGGAATGGTGAGTCCCACCAACAAACCTGCCAGCAGGGCGAGAGTAGGGAGAGGTGTGAGAATTGTGGGCTTCACTGGAAGGTAGAGACCCCTTCCTATGCAACTTGTGTGGGCTGGGTCAGCAGCTATTCATTGAGTTTGTCTGTGTCACTGAAACTGACCCCAGCCAACTGTTCTCAGTTCACAGCCCTGTTTTCAAAGAATTACACATCTCTAAAGGCAAACAGGGCACGGACAAGGCAAACTGGAGAGGCAAACTGTAGCCTGAGATGGCCTGGGCTTGCCATCACAGGTATTCAGGTGCTGAGGGCCCTTAGACCAACTAGAGCACCTCACTGCCTAGGAAATCAATGAAGGGGAAATGAGTTCTAGCGGAGCCCTGAAGGATCAGAATTGGATAAAGTTCTTATTGGCAGAGAGGCACCAGGATTGAAGTGACAGGAGCAAAGACCTGGGAGGAAAGAGGAGAAAATCATCTATTTCACCTGGAAACAAATGATTCCAAGCATAGAAATAATAACAGCTGACAAGTACTGAGTGCCCTCTATATGCTAGGCACTGGGCTGAGGGATTAACATGCATGTGCATGTTTATTCCTCATGACAACCTTGGTTTCCAGATAAGCTGGACTGGAAAGGGACAGAGCTGGGATCCTGGGCTAATCAGTCTGGTCGCCAAGCCTGAGACTTTAGCCACTGCCCTTCACATGGGGGTCCATGAAAATAGTAGTAGTCTGGAACAGTTTGGGGGTACATCAAGGTCGCTGTGTTTTAAGCTATGGAGTCTGGACTATAGGAGACAAATGTAAAAGAGTTTTTTGGTTGACTGGCTTTTTGGTTTTTTTGTTTGTTTGTTTGTTTGTTTTTTTGTTTTTTTTTCCTGTTTCTGGGGCTTGAATCAGGAAGGAGGTTTTTTTGTTGTTGTTGTTTTGAGAAAGGATATTGCTCTGTTGCCCAGACTGGAGTGCAGTGGCACGATCATGGCTCACTACAGCTTCGACCTCCTGGGCTCAAGCAATCCTCCTGCCTTAGCCTCCCAAGTAGCTGGACTACAGGTGTGTACCACCACACCTAATTTTTTGAATTTTTTTTTCTTTTTTTTTTTTTTTTTTTTTGGTAGAGACAGGTTCTCACTTTGTTGCCCAGGCTGATCTCAAACTCCTGGGCTCAAGCATTCCTCCTGCCTCGCCCTCCCAAAGTGTTGGGATTACAGTTGTGAGCCACCATGCCCGGCAGGAAAAGATTTTTAAGCAAGAAAGCTTAAGAGCTGTGGTTTTTCCAAAATGAGTCTGGGCTGGCACAGTGGCTCATGCCTGTAATCCCAGCACTTTTTTGGGAGGCCGAGGTGAGTGGATCACTTGAGGTCAGGAGTTTGAGACCAGCCTGGCCAACTGGTGAAACCCTGTTTCTACTAAAGAAAAAAATGCAAAAATTAGCTGGGCGTGGTGGTGCACGCCTGTAGTCCCAGCTACTCAGGAGGCCGAGGCAGGAGAATAGCTTGAACCTGGGAGGCAGAAGTTGCAGTGAGCCAAGATCACACCACTGCATTCCAGCCTGGGTGACAGAGTGAGACTTCATCTCAAAAAAAAAAAAAAAGAGAGACTGATATGGTTAGTACATTGGGGTGGAATGCGGAGGGTCCAGGGAATGGAGCCCTGCATAGGGGGCTAATGAAACATTTCAAATTTCTGAATTAAGGTAGTGGCTGTGGGGACAGGAGCCTGGGAGGCCGGGTGGAGTCAGAATGGAGAGACTGGTTGGCAATGAGGGAACAGGAGGAGGAGGAGGAGGAGTTACGAGTGGCTTGAGGTGTCACTTACCAGACATTTGGGGGATGGGGGATAGCCATGATTGTTGAGCAACTGGTTTGGGAAGAGCTAGCATTGATCCCTGCTGTTCTGTGCTAGCAGAACCTATCAGCATCTTCTGGGCAGGAAACTGGCTCCATGAGACTGGCTTAGGGAGAGGCTGCTAGTCACCTAATCTGCAGAGAAGGGGCAGCTGGAGCTGTGGGACAGAAGAGGCATCCATGTAGCTGGTGGGGGTGTCTCAGCTTGTGAAGAGGAGATGGCTTTGAGCAGGGCTGACACTGAAAAGGCTGGAAGAAAAAAACAGACACACAAGAGTCTCAGGATCAGGTAGCATAGGAAAGTTGTGGACAGTCTTTGAGGAGCACTCCCTCAGGCAGGCAGGCAGGCAGGTCATGAGCTATAGCGATTCAGGAAGAGCTCCCTGGGTGTGTGAGCAGCTCCAGGAGCCTAAGGGATGAAAGTAGTATTGCAGGGGGCTGGAGAGCAAGGAGTGGCTCCTTCTACATTTGCAAGGGAAGGAGAAAGGAAGTTGCTCCTGAGAGTGGTAAGAGTCAGTGGTGGAGGCCTGGAGAGGAGACATAACAAACAAATTTGTTGACAAACATTTTGGTAGGAAGGGGGAGAGCTTAAAGTTTAGACAGTGGGGAAGGTGGAGTCTTAGAGGAGGTGAATGTCTGAAAGACAGAGCTAGCTGGAGCAAGAAGTCACTTCTCTGTTGCAGGCAGGAAGGATCCAAAGTGGCTCAAGCCAGAGATTGGGAGAGTGGGGAGGAGGGAGCAGCCTGGATCTAAGTAAAATGGGTAGAGGTGGAGGGGGTGCTGCAACGGCCAGGGTTTTCTGAAGTTGGGGACATTAGGAGAGAGCTGTGAGGGCTTTGGCCAGCCACTGTGCTAGTGATTGGTGAACCAAAGGATGGGCAGGAGATGGCAGCAGGGAAGCAGAGGAAGTCCAGGCTTCCTGTTGGTATTGGGACAAGGGAGAGGCCATAGGAGGCCCTGGCCCTGTTGTCCAGGTTGGGTTCTGAAGCTGGGTGGGCATGGCCTGGTAGGAGAGCATCTATGGCGCCCAATTCCAGATTCAGGGTCTAGTTGATTTGCTGGCCCTGTAGCCTCAGCTCATGCTTCTGTTCCAGGCCTATTTGCACTCTATGTGCATCATCCACCGGGATCTGAACTCGCACAACTGCCTCATCAAGTTGGTATGTCCCACTGCTCTGGGCCTGGCCTCCAGGGTCCTATCCTTCCTGGCTTCCTTGTCACAAAGGAGGCTGACTTGTCCCCTCTGGCTAGAGGGCAGAGGTGTTGCCTAGGAGCTCCTATCTTTCCCTTCCTGCTTCTTCCAATGCCCTTCTCTGTCCTCTGGGAGCTCCGAGACACACACAGACATAATTTCACCTTCTCTCATTAGCAACCTTTGAAATAATTTGATTAGAAGGGACTTCAGAAGTTTGTTGACTATATGTAGAAAACCCTGTCATTTTACCTGCTTTTGCCCCATAGTAGTCTTGTAAAACAGTTCATTGCTGACCCCATTTTACAGTGGTGGCACCTGAAGCCTCAGCCTGAGGCCACCGAGCTAGTAAATTTACAGGGACCAGTTTGAGACCAGCATTCCTCCCACTGCCCCTCAGCTGTGGTGGTTACAATGTTGTTTGTCTTACTGACTTGCTATCTGGCTTCCTGGGTGTCTACCGGCTGGCCCTGGCTCTGCCCTCTAGACCCACACCACGCAATCTTCATTCCTTTCCCACATGACTGCCCTGTAGCTATTCAAAGAGCTTGTCTCCCCCAAGTCTCCCCATCTACTGCCTCCACCTTGCCTTTTTCTGTCTTATCCTGGTTCTAGCCACTGCCTGAAATCATTTTAGGAATAAGACAGGACAGGGAAAAACAAAAGCAACCCCCTGTCCCACCTCTGAGTTCCACTCTCCAAGTCCCTGAGCCTCACCTCCAGGGCTCCAGTGGCTCTGCCATGAACCCACTGTGGGCTGGGAGTCTGCTGTGCACAGATACCAGACCCTCAGAAACACAAATGCCAAGTGTGTCTGTTTTTTTGTTTTGTTTTGTTTTGTTTTTTAGATGGAGTCTCATTCTGTTTCCCAGGCTGGAGTGCAGTGGTGCAATCTTGGCTTACTGCAGCCTCTACCTCCCGGGTTCTAGTGATTCTTCTGCTTCAGCCTCCCAAGTAGCTAGGACTACAGGCGTGTGCCACCACGCCCAGCTAATTTTTTTTTTTTTTTTTTTGTATTTTTAGTAGAGACGGGGTTTTGCCATGTTGGCCAGGCTGGTCTTGAACTCCTGACCTCAGGTGATTCACCCGCCTTGGCCTCCCAAAGTTCTGGGATTACAGGTGGAAGCCACCGTGCCTGGCCTGAGTGTGTCTATTTGATAGAGCTTTCTGCTCTGATTCTCCCTTGCTATACACCTTTTCTCCCCTTCTCAGTGGCTTCTCTTGCCTATGCTTCCTCCCCAGGGCCAGGTTTGAGAACATCCCCATGAAGTCCTGACCTGTCTTTTATCCTACCAGGACAAGACTGTGGTGGTGGCAGACTTTGGGCTGTCACGGCTCATAGTGGAAGAGAGGAAAAGGGCCCCCATGGAGAAGGCCACCACCAAGAAACGCACCTTGCGCAAGAACGACCGCAAGAAGCGCTACACGGTGGTGGGAAACCCCTACTGGATGGCCCCTGAGATGCTGAACGGTGAGTCCTGAAGCCCTGGAGGGGACACCCGCAGAGGGAGGACAGATGCTGCCCTTGCATCAGAGCCCTGGGAATTCCAGGGGAGGCCTGTGAAGCGTAGGACCGGATACCCAGAGCTGAGGATATTTTTCCCTTGCCAGGTGGGGCCTCACGATTTAGCTCCTGAGCTCAGGGGGCTGGGAACTGATCAGTGTCCCATCATGGGGGATAAGGTGAGTTCTGACTGTGGCATTTGTGCCTCAGGGATCGCTAAGAGCTCAGGCTATTGTCCCAGCTTTAGCCTTCTCTCTCCATGGTGAGAACTGAAGTGTGGTGCCCTCTGGTGGATAATGCTCAAACCAACCAGAGATGCTGGTTGGGATTCTTGAAATCAGGGTTGTGAGGCCTCAGAAATGGTCTGAATACAATCCATTTTGGAGTCTGAGGCCCAGAGAAGTTCAGTGAATTGCCTAGGAGCATACAGCTGCCTAATGGCAGAGGCTAGATGAACCCTAGTCTGGTTCTTTTCCACTTTAACGTGCAGTTTCATCCTAGGCAGTGTTATGTTATAAGGGCTCTCCAAGGCAGTTCACCTACAGCTGAGGAAGGACTATTTTCAGGTGGTGTCTGCGCAGGACAGCCTGTGGGGTGTCCCTACAGAACCTGTTCTAGCCCTAGTTCTTAGCTGTGGCTTAGATTGACCCTAGACCCAGTGCAGAGCAGGTAAGGGATGTAAACTTAACAGTGTGCTCTCCTGTGTTCCCCAAGGAAAGAGCTATGATGAGACGGTGGATATCTTCTCCTTTGGGATCGTTCTCTGTGAGGTGAGCTCTGGCACCAAGGCCATGCCCGAGGCAGCAGGCCTAGCAGCTCTGCCTTCCCTCGGAACTGGGGCATCTCCTCCTAGGGATGACTAGCTTGACTAAAATCAACATGGGTGTAGGGTTTTATGGTTTATAACGCATCTGCACATCTTTGCCACGTTCGTGTTTCATTGGTCTTAAGAGAAGGACTGGCAGGGTTTTTTTGTTTTAGATGGAGCCTCACTTCGTTGCCCAGGCTGGAGTGCAGTGGCACAATCTGGGCTCACTGCAACCTCTGCCTTCTGGGTTCAAGTGATTCTCCTGCCTCAGCCTCCCAAGTAGCTGGGACTACCGGCACACACCACCATGCCCGGCTAATTTTTGTATTTTTAGTAGAGACAGGGTTTCACCATGTTGGCCAGGCTGGTCTTGAACTCCGGACCTCAGGTGATCCGCCTGCCTCAGCCTCTAAAAGTGCTGGAATTAATAGGCGTGAGCTACCTCGCCCGGCCAGGTTTTTTTTTTTTTTTTTTTAGTTGAGGAAACTGAGGCTTGGAAGAGGGCAGTGGCTTGCACATGGTCGATAAGGGGCAGATGAGACTCAGAATTCCAGAAGGAAGGGCAAGAGACTGTTCATGTGGCTGTCTAGCTAGCTCTTGGGCCAAATGTAGCCCTTCTCAGTTCCCTTCAAGTAGAAGTAGCCACTCTAGGAAGTGTCAGCCCTGTGCCAGGTACCACGTGGACAGAGTGAGGAATCTTGGAAAGATTCCTACCTTTAGGAGTTTAGTCAGGTGACAGCATATCTCAGCGACTCAAACACACACACATTCAAAGCCTTCTGTAATTCCTACAAAGTTGTGAGGGGTAGAGGAGAGGAGAGACAAGGGATGGTTAGGATAATGAAGGAATGTTTTGTTTTTGTTTTTGTTTTTGAGATGGAGTTTCACTCTGTCACCCAGGCTGGAGTGCAGAGGTGCAATCTTGGCTCACTGCAGCCTCCGCCTCCCAGGTTCAAGCAATCCTCCTGCCTCAGCCTCCCAAGTAGCTGGGACTACAGGTGTGCGCCACCACGCCTGGCTAATTTTTGTATTTTCAGTAGAGACAGGGTTTCGCCATATTGGCCAGGCTGGTCTCAAATGCCTGACCTCAGGTGATCCACCCGCTTCAGCCTCCCAAAGTGCTGAGATTACAGGCATGAGCTACCGTGCCTGGCCATGAAGGAAGATTTGTTTTAAAAAATTGTTTTCTTTAATATTAATTGAACACCTCTGTTCAGAGCACTGGGCTGGTGCCAGAGGGTTTCAGACATGAATCAGATCCAGCACCTCATAGAGCCTTAACTCTGGCACACACACACAGCCACAAGGAGACACAGACAAGGCAGGGTAGGATGAGTGGAAGCTAGGAGCAGATGCTGATTTGGAACACTTGGCTTCTGCAGTGAAGCCCCTTCTTAGTCCTCTTCAGTAACCCAGCTCTCAGTGGATACAGGTCTGGATTAGTAAGATTTGGAGAGATGATTGGGGATTGGGGAGAGCTCTCTAACCTATTTTACCACCTCCTCTTCTGCCATTCTTCCTGTCCACATCCCAGCATCCCTTTCCCTTGCCAAGTATCTGTGGCCTCTGTAGTCCTTTGTAAACAGCTGTCTTCTTACCCTACAGATCATTGGGCAGGTGTATGCAGATCCTGACTGCCTTCCCCGAACACTGGACTTTGGCCTCAACGTGAAGCTTTTCTGGGAGAAGTTTGTTCCCACAGATTGTCCCCCGGCCTTCTTCCCGCTGGCCGCCATCTGCTGCAGACTGGAGCCTGAGAGCAGGTTGGTATCCTGCCTTTTTCTCCCAGCTCACAGGGTCCTGGGACGTTTGCCTCTGTCTAAGGCCACCCCTGAGCCCTCTGCAAGCACAGGGGTGAGAGAAGCCTTGAGGTCAAGAATGTGGCTGTCAACCCCTGAGCCATCTGACAACACATATGTACAGGTTGGAGAAGAGAGAGGTAAAGACATAGCAGCAAGTAATCTGGATAGGACACAGAAACACAGCCATTAAAAGAAAGTTTAAAAGAAGGAAATTCACCCAAACCATTTGAATACAGTAAGTGTATTCATCTTTCGATATTCCCCTGTCCATATCTACACATATACTTTTTTTTATAGTAAATAGTTCTGTATTTTGCCCTGCATTTCCCTTGTGTTTACTATCCAGTCTTCCTGTTTATCATTTTTGTCGACAACATGAAATTCTATTGAGAGACTGTCTGAACATATTGTAATGTAGATGTTCAGGTTTTTCCAGTTTCTCTTTACAATAGGTATTTAACTACAGTGAGCAGTTTTATGCATTTAGCTAATTTCTCCTTTGAGGAAGTATTTTCAAAATTACCTTTATTCTTCTCAGGTAATAATTTCATTATTACCAAAGTTACCCTAGGTCTTTTCAAGTGTGTGGTTAAAAAACGAGAATCTGGCTGGGCGCGATGGCTCACACCTGTAATCCCAGCACTTTGGGAGGCTGAGGCTGGTGGATCACCTGAGGTCTGGAGTTCGAGACCAGCCTGGCCAACATGGTGAAACCCCATCTCTACTAAAAATACAAAACTTAGCCAGGCATGGTGGCAGGTGCCTGTAACCCCAGCTACTTGGGAGGCTGAGGCAGGAGAATTGCTTGAACCCAGGGGCGGAGGTTGCAGTGAGCCGATATCACGCCATTGCACTCCAGCCTCGGCAACAAGAGTGAAACTCTGTCTCAAAAATGGGGTTCTTTTCCTGCCATCAAAAATCATGTTTCTTTTAAAAACAAGTTCAAACATTACCAAAGTTTATAGCACAGGAAATACGTCTTCTGTAATCTCCCTTAACCAATATATCCCTCAACATTCTCCTCACCCCCAACTCCACCCTCCCAGGATAACCAGTTGGGACATAATCTTTATTTAAAAATGGTTTCCGGATAGAGAAAGCGCTTCGGCGGCGGCAGCCCCGGCGGCGGCCGCAGGGGACAAAGGGCGGGCGGATCGGCGGGGAGGGGGCGGGGCGCGACCAGGCCAGGCCCGGGGGCTCCGCATGCTGCAGCTGCCCCCGGGCGCCCCCGCCGCCGCCCTCGCCGCGGAGCCGGCGAGCTAACCTGAGCCAGCCGGCGGGCGTCACGGAGGCGGCGGCACAAGGAGGGGCCCCACGCGCGCACGTGGCCCCGGAGGCCGCCGTGGCGGACAGCGGCACCGCGGGGGGCGCGGCGTTGGCGGCCCCGGCCCCGGCCCCCAGGCCAGGCAGTGGCGGCCAAGGACCACGCATCTACTTTCAGAGCCCCCCCCGGGGCCGCAGGAGAGGGCCCGGGCTGCGCGGATGATGAGGGCCCAGTGAGGCGCCAAGGGAAGGTCACCATCAAGTATGACCCCAAGGAGCTACGGAAGCACCTCAACCTAGAGGAGTGGATCCTGGAGCAGCTCACGCGCCTCTACGACTGCCAGGAAGAGGAGATCTCAGAACTAGAGATTGACGTGGATGAGCTCCTGGACATGGAGAGTGACGATGCCTGGGCTTCCAGGGTCAAGGAGCTGCTGGTTGACTGTTACAAACCCACAGAGGCCTTCATCTCTGGCCTGCTGGACAAGATCCGGGCCATGCAGAAGCTGAGCACACCCCAGAAGAAGTGAGGGTCCCCGACCCAGGCGAACGGTGGCTCCCATAGGACAATCGCTACCCCCCGACCTCGTAGCAACAGCAATACCGGGGGACCCTGCGGCCAGGCCTGGTTCCATGAGCAGGGCTCCTCGTGCCCCTGGCCCAGGGGTCTCTTCCCCTGCCCCCTCAGTTTTCCACTTTTGGATTTTTTTATTGTTATTAAACTGATGGGACTTTGTGTTTTTATATTGACTCTGCGGCACGGGCCCTTTAATAAAGCGAGGTAGGGTACGCCTTTGGTGCAGCTCAAAAAAAAAAAAAAAAATGATTTCCAGCGGTCCACATTAGAGTTGAAATTTTCTGGTGGGAGAATCTATACCTTGTTCCTTTATAGGCCAAGGACCGCAGTCCTTCAGTAACACCAGTGTAAAAGCTTGAGGAGAAATTGTGAAGCTACACAGTATTTGTTTTCTAATACCTCTTGTCATTCTAAATATCTTTAATTTATTAAAAAATATATATATACAGTATTGAATGCCTACTGTGTGCTAGGTACAGTTCTAAACACTTGGGTTACAGCAGCGAACAAAATAAAGGTGCTTACCCTCATAGAACATAGATTCTAGCATGGTATCTACTGTATCATACAGTAGATACAATAAGTAAACTATATTGAATATTAGAATGTGGCAGATGCTATGGAAAAAGAGTCAAGACAAGTAAAGACGATTGTTCAGGGTACCAGTTGCAATTTTAAATATGGTCGTCAGAGCAGGCCTCACTGAGGTGACATGACATTTAAGCATAAACATGGAGGAGGAGGAGTAAGCCTGAGCTGTCTTAGGCTTCCGGGGCAGCCAAGCCATTTCCGTGGCACTAGGAGCCTGGTGTTTCCGATTCCACCTTTGATAACTGCATTTTCTCTAAGATATGGGAGGGAAGTTTTTCTCCTATTGTTTTTAAGTATTAACTCCAGCTAGTCCAGCCTTGTTATAGTGTTACCTAATCTTTATAGCAAATATATGAGGTACCGGTAACATTATGCCCATTTCTCACAGAGGCACTACTAGGTGAAGGAGTTTGCCTGACGTTATACAACCAGGAAGTAGCTGAGCCTAGATCCCTTCCACCCACCCCATGGCCCTGCTCATGTTCCACCTGCCTCTAATTTACCTCTTTTCCTTCTAGACCAGCATTCTCGAAATTGGAGGACTCCTTTGAGGCCCTCTCCCTGTACCTGGGGGAGCTGGGCATCCCGCTGCCTGCAGAGCTGGAGGAGTTGGACCACACTGTGAGCATGCAGTACGGCCTGACCCGGGACTCACCTCCCTAGCCCTGGCCCAGCCCCCTGCAGGGGGGTGTTCTACAGCCAGCATTGCCCCTCTGTGCCCCATTCCTGCTGTGAGCAGGGCCGTCCGGGCTTCCTGTGGATTGGCGGAATGTTTAGAAGCAGAACAAGCCATTCCTATTACCTCCCCAGGAGGCAAGTGGGCGCAGCACCAGGGAAATGTATCTCCACAGGTTCTGGGGCCTAGTTACTGTCTGTAAATCCAATACTTGCCTGAAAGCTGTGAAGAAGAAAAAAACCCCTGGCCTTTGGGCCAGGAGGAATCTGTTACTCGAATCCACCCAGGAACTCCCTGGCAGTGGATTGTGGGAGGCTCTTGCTTACACTAATCAGCGTGACCTGGACCTGCTGGGCAGGATCCCAGGGTGAACCTGCCTGTGAACTCTGAAGTCACTAGTCCAGCTGGGTGCAGGAGGACTTCAAGTGTGTGGACGAAAGAAAGACTGATGGCTCAAAGGGTGTGAAAAAGTCAGTGATGCTCCCCCTTTCTACTCCAGATCCTGTCCTTCCTGGAGCAAGGTTGAGGGAGTAGGTTTTGAAGAGTCCCTTAATATGTGGTGGAACAGGCCAGGAGTTAGAGAAAGGGCTGGCTTCTGTTTACCTGCTCACTGGCTCTAGCCAGCCCAGGGACCACATCAATGTGAGAGGAAGCCTCCACCTCATGTTTTCAAACTTAATACTGGAGACTGGCTGAGAACTTACGGACAACATCCTTTCTGTCTGAAACAAACAGTCACAAGCAAAGGAAGAGGCTGGGGGACTAGAAAGAGGCCCTGCCCTCTAGAAAGCTCAGATCTTGGCTTCTGTTACTCATACTCGGGTGGGCTCCTTAGTCAGATGCCTAAAACATTTTGCCTAAAGCTCGATGGGTTCTGGAGGACAGTGTGGCTTGTCACAGGCCTAGAGTCTGAGGGAGGGGAGTGGGAGTCTCAGCAATCTCTTGGTCTTGGCTTCATGGCAACCACTGCTCACCCTTCAACATGCCTGGTTTAGGCAGCAGCTTGGGCTGGGAAGAGGTGGTGGCAGAGTCTCAAAGCTGAGATGCTGAGAGAGATAGCTCCCTGAGCTGGGCCATCTGACTTCTACCTCCCATGTTTGCTCTCCCAACTCATTAGCTCCTGGGCAGCATCCTCCTGAGCCACATGTGCAGGTACTGGAAAACCTCCATCTTGGCTCCCAGAGCTCTAGGAACTCTTCATCACAACTAGATTTGCCTCTTCTAAGTGTCTATGAGCTTGCACCATATTTAATAAATTGGGAATGGGTTTGGGGTATTAATGCAATGTGTGGTGGTTGTATTGGAGCAGGGGGAATTGATAAAGGAGAGTGGTTGCTGTTAATATTATCTTATCTATTGGGTGGTATGTGAAATATTGTACATAGACCTGATGAGTTGTGGGACCAGATGTCATCTCTGGTCAGAGTTTACTTGCTATATAGACTGTACTTATGTGTGAAGTTTGCAAGCTTGCTTTAGGGCTGAGCCCTGGACTCCCAGCAGCAGCACAGTTCAGCATTGTGTGGCTGGTTGTTTCCTGGCTGTCCCCAGCAAGTGTAGGAGTGGTGGGCCTGAACTGGGCCATTGATCAGACTAAATAAATTAAGCAGTTAACATAACTGGCAATATGGAGAGTGAAAACATGATTGGCTCAGGGACATAAATGTAGAGGGTCTGCTAGCCACCTTCTGGCCTAGCCCACACAAACTCCCCATAGCAGAGAGTTTTCATGCACCCAAGTCTAAAACCCTCAAGCAGACACCCATCTGCTCTAGAGAATATGTACATCCCACCTGAGGCAGCCCCTTCCTTGCAGCAGGTGTGACTGACTATGACCTTTTCCTGGCCTGGCTCTCACATGCCAGCTGAGTCATTCCTTAGGAGCCCTACCCTTTCATCCTCTCTATATGAATACTTCCATAGCCTGGGTATCCTGGCTTGCTTTCCTCAGTGCTGGGTGCCACCTTTGCAATGGGAAGAAATGAATGCAAGTCACCCCACCCCTTGTGTTTCTTTACAAGTGCTTGAGAGGAGAAGACCAGTTTCTTCTTGCTTCTGCATGTGGGGGATGTCGTAGAAGAGTGACCATTGGGAAGGACAATGCTATCTGGTTAGTGGGGCCTTGGGCACAATATAAATCTGTAAACCCAAAGGTGTTTTCTCCCAGGCACTCTCAAAGCTTGAAGAATCCAACTTAAGGACAGAATATGGTTCCCGAAAAAAACTGATGATCTGGAGTACGCATTGCTGGCAGAACCACAGAGCAATGGCTGGGCATGGGCAGAGGTCATCTGGGTGTTCCTGAGGCTGATAACCTGTGGCTGAAATCCCTTGCTAAAAGTCCAGGAGACACTCCTGTTGGTATCTTTTCTTCTGGAGTCATAGTAGTCACCTTGCAGGGAACTTCCTCAGCCCAGGGCTGCTGCAGGCAGCCCAGTGACCCTTCCTCCTCTGCAGTTATTCCCCCTTTGGCTGCTGCAGCACCACCCCCGTCACCCACCACCCAACCCCTGCCGCACTCCAGCCTTTAACAAGGGCTGTCTAGATATTCATTTTAACTACCTCCACCTTGGAAACAATTGCTGAAGGGGAGAGGATTTGCAATGACCAACCACCTTGTTGGGACGCCTGCACACCTGTCTTTCCTGCTTCAACCTGAAAGATTCCTGATGATGATAATCTGGACACACAAGCCGGGCACGGTGGCTCTAGCCTGTAATCTCAGCACTTTGGGAGGCCTCAGCAGGTGGATCACCTGAGATCAAGAGTTTGAGAACAGCCTGACCAACATGGTGAAACCCCGTCTCTACTAAAAATACAAAAATTAGCCAGGTGTGGTGGCACATACCTGTAATCCCAGCTACTCTGGAGGCTGAGGCAGGAGAATCGCTTGAACCCACAAGGCAGAGGTTGCAGTGAGGCGAGATCATGCCATTGCACTCCAGCCTGTGCAACAAGAGCCAAACTCCATCTCAAAAAAAAAAATCTGGACACAGGCTGCAGTTGTCACTTTCCAGTAACAGGGCGAGGATGAATGAAGAAAAGGCCCAGAGCTTGCCACATAGGTGTTGACAAGGTAACCCAAAGCTTCTCAACTTACACGGAGGGTTCCTGTTACCCCTCAAAAACTTGGCAATGTGGAGTCTTTTTTTTTTTTTAATTAAGTCAAATGCAGAGCAATTTCCCACACTATATGCAGGTGTCAGAATGAGGTATATAAAACATGTATATAGAGAAATGCCTTTATAGAAAAGTAGAAACCAGTAATATTCTCTTCTCCAGCATCACTAACACCAAGAGACCACCTGAGGTCTAGGTCCCCAAAGCAGATGGCTCCATAGAAAGCCCCACTAACCCGTCTCCACATTGGGCAGTGGAAGGGTTCTGGAAAGGAAGCTCTATGGCTAGGAGCTGCCAAGGCCTCTTGAGTGTGACATCACAGGTTAGAGGCCCTGCTGAGCTGCTAGCACAGTGCAGTGGAGAAATGTTGCGCTCCGTCAGGAAGCTGGGCTCTTGCCATGCCAGTAGCTTGCTTACGACCTTGGGCAAGTCACTTTTTCCTCTCTGGGGTCCTGTGTCCAAAAGGCTTAATGAGCCCTTTCTAATGGTTCTTTGATTGCTTTATGAGTTAGGGGCTGTGACCCTAGCCCCAGTGCCCTACAGGAAGGTGCTGACCTGGACGCCCGCAGGACCACCTGCTAAATCAGGCCCACTTGGGGAGCAAGCCCTGAAGTGCTTTATTACCTTGCCTCTGAGCTTAGTTTCCAGGTTAGCCTCTTAGAAGCAGCTCACAAGGCCCCACAGTATAATTCCCATAGGTTAGCTAACTACTCTCTTACCTGTGCAAAATGAAGACAGGTCACTATCCATCCCTGAAGAGAAACTGGGGCATCCCAGGTCTGCCTCTGCTCCTGTGGCCAAAGGCGGAGCAGATCCTTCTCTATCCTCTTCCTAAGTGGAATGCTCAGTGCAATTCTTCCTTTCCTTATGAAACAGGAAGAGTCCCTGGGCCCAGGCCTGGCCCACGGTTGTCAAGGCACATCATTGCCAGCAAGCTGAAGCATACCAGCAGCCACAACCTAGATCTCATTCCCAACCCAAAGTTCTGACTTCTGTACAAACTCGTTTCCAGTTCTCAGAGGTCAGTAGGGAGTTCCATCCCAAATATTTTAAAAACTAAATATATTTTTTCAATGCCATCCCTTGACCTGCTTTACCTTAACCATGAATAACAGTGTATGCCACTCAAGCCCACAGTGGAGACTGAGGCCATCTTAGTAAAGCACAGAGGAGCCTGGGGGAGCTCCCCGTCTATCCCTGGTTCAGTTCCAGGGGTGCAGGCAATGTTTGGAAGCCCTTAGCAGCAGCATCACTGTGGGAGCTGCCACTGTCTCCATCCACAGACAAAATCTGCTCCAAGGGATGGACAAGGAGCACTGTTAGGACCCTACCCAGCCTTACCCTCAGCCCACAGGGCCACCTGCTTCTGTCACTCTTACTAGGATTCGCCAAAAAAGCGGGGGAGTGGTAGGGTTTTAACCAGAACACAAAGTGGTAGTTCCTCCTAGCTGTAGGAGGGTGGGCTGTCCTGCACCAGTGTCTGCATGGGCTCCTGCCCACTGGGGGGGCTCAGGCCCCAGGAGTCCCGGCCTGGCCCATAAGGGGGGTGGTGCCCTCCTGAGGGTCAACTGGAGTCTGGCTGGTGTGGACCACGACAGTCTTCTCATCCACAATCTCACAGGTGGGGTTGGTGAAGGCAGACAAGGGCAGAGTGATTCGCTGCATCTCCCTCTCACATACTTTCTGATCATGCTGTTCTTTCAAATCCTTCCCCCTGGCAGGAAAAAAACAAACAAACATTCAGGCTATGCCTCCTGCATAGCTTTGCTCATTAGATAGCATCCCTGAGGCTCAGCAAGAGCAGCAGCTTGCCATTGTCACAACAAATCAGTGGCTGAGCCAGGACCCAAACTCAGGTCCAGGATTCTAGGATATCCATTCTGCAAGACGGCGTTAAACTCAACAAGAAGCTCCTGCACCTCTGGTCTTAGGTTCTCCATCTGTAAAATAGGGTGACAGCAGTATGGACTTCATACAGCTTCACCGGGGCTCAATGAAAATAAAGTAAAGGACAGAGACTTTTTTTTTTTTTTTATGGTTGAGACAGGGTCTCAACATGTTGCCTAGGCTGGTCTCAAACTACTGGGCTCAAGCGATCCTCCCACCCCCCAAAGTACTGGGATTACAGGCGTGAGCCACTGCACCTGGCCAGATAGAGACTCTTAAAGCAAGACACAGTTTTGTTCTTTCAGCCCCAGAGACCCAGAGAACTATCTGAACTTCGGACCTAACCCATAAAGTTGTCCAGAAAACTGACCTGATCATCCTGCTGTGAGACAGCCTCCCAGAGATGCTTATTACTTTTAATAAGCATCTACTAAATGTCAGCTACAGGCTTTTTTTTTTGGAGATGGAGTTTCGTGCTTTTTGCCCAGGCTGGAGTACAATGGCACAATCTCGGCTCACTGCAACCTCTGCCTCTCAGGTTCAAGCGATTCTCCTGCCTCAGCCTCCCAAGTAGCCAGGATTACAGGCATGCGCCACCACGCCCAGAGTATTTTGTATTTTTAGTAGAGATGGGGTTTCTCCATGGTGGTCAGGCTGGTCTCGAACTCCCGATCTCAGGTGATCCACCCGCCTCAGCATCCCAAAGTGCTGGGATTACAGGCGTGAGCCACCACACCCAGCCTAATCCCTGTTTTATAGATGAAGAAACTGAGGCTTTTGAGTTTAACTTCCGCGCCTTGCTTTCCTCAGCAACCTCCTTTACCTGTGGCCAGCTGAGCTGCTGCTAATGGCCAGGCTGCATCATATACAAGTCTTTAGGGGAAAAAAATCAATTTGTATTAATGAGGCAGAGCAGGGCTGGAAGAGCAGTCAAGGGTAAAGAAAGCAGATGCTGGCACTAGTCTGGATTAGTCTCATCCATTTGGAAGCCTGGAAGCACACTCAATCCCATGTGCCTGCTGTTAATGGTGCCTGTGAGTCCTAGAGATGCAGTGGCTGCTCCCAGCTCCCTTGGGTGACCTTTGAGAGGCCACTAGGCCTGCTACACTGACCATCAGGCAGCCTAGCCCCTTCTCACTGCTTGGGGGTAGGGGGTGGTTAGCCTGGGTGTTGTGTGGCAGCCAAGAAAGAACAAAAGGCTTGTTCACTGACTTAGTTCCTCTCCTAAGGGAGTGGAGTGGTGTTGACTTACAGTTTTTCCCTCCCCTTTTTATCAGAAAATAAGACCTCCCTCTGAAGCTAGTGCAGACAGTACACTTAGCTCCTCAGTCACAGACTGGCCATTTGAACCTCGTGGCCTAGACTACCAGGACAAAGACCCGGCCAGGCTGAGCTCCCACCCACCCCCATTTACAGCCCTCCCTCCCTAAGAGGAAGCCTGGTGCCTGCCCACCCATCCCAGCCAGGGAAAAGCTCCATCCCATTAGGCAAGCCTCATGGCCTTTGGCAGAGCTCAAGGCTTACAGTACCTACCCTGACTGCTTGCTCCAAGGCCAGGGTGGGACTGGGAGCTGAGCTGGCCAGAGAGAGCAGGTGTAGAGGAAGCTGCTGCCTACCTCCAACTTCCTCTCCCAGAGTATGGAAGCACCACAGACCTCATTCAGACTACACAGGTCGTCTTCAATTATTACTCTGAGCCGCTGCTATTTTCCCAGTCAGAGGCAGTGCTGTGCCACACTGCTGCTCAGGAAAAGTTCCCAAGGCAGCTACAGGTAATAATCACAAGAGCAGCCAACATTTATTTCCTGCTTTCTTAATAAGTAAGGCCCTACTGTATGCTGCCTCCAACTTCCTCTCCCA